>NC_000006.12:158252608-158404123 GCF_000001405.40 Homo sapiens | reverse complement strand
AGGTTCCAGCAAACTGAAGAGAGCCGGAGCATGAGTGGAGACTGACATTTCCACATCAGACATTAGGAGAGTGTGGTGGGTAAGAGCTTTTGATTCTCCCAACTACCATATGATGCAAATGTTGCCATTCTTATCTTCCAAAATAGGAAACTGAGACTTAGGGAGGTTAGGTGTTTTGTCCAACATCCCATAGCCACATGGTAGTGGCACCAACCACTCAAACCTAGATGCAGTTCCTAAGTTTACATGTAAAGACGCCACACACGCACACAAGTGAATTCTAATGAGAAGAGTTGTTGTTGTTTTAGCTAGAAACCTGAACTAGCTGACTGACTACAAGATATCTAGGTGACTAAGGCAAAAGGAACATACCTGAGCAATGAGACGCCCAAATTAAAATACTAGTTAAGCAGGGCTAATTAGAAATGTCCCAGGGTTTCCATAGCGTAGTAATTATCAAGTTTGCCTAACACGCGAAATGTCCCCGGTTCAAAACCGGGCGGAAACAGCTCCTTCTACTTTTTGGGAGGCCGAGGCGGGCGGATCACCTGAGGTCAGGAGTTCAAGACCAGCCTGACCAACATGGAGAAACCCCGTCTCTACTAAAAATACAAAAATTAGCCGGGCATAGGGGCGCATGCCTGTAATCCCAGCTACTCGGGACGCTAAGGCAGGAGAATCGCTTGAACCCGAGAGGCGGAGGTTGTGGTGAGCCAAGATCACGCCATTGCACTCCAGCCTGGGCAACAAGAGCGAAACTCCGTCTCAAAAAGAAAAAGTGTCCCTGGAGACACTCACTGTAGAAAAAGGGCCACCACAAGGAACTTATCCTGGTAGGACAGACTGCAGCTTGGGAAGGGGAACAGTAGAATGGAAGACCAAGTAGGGAATGAGCTAGGGTCCTCACCTGCTTTCAAGCAGAGCTCGGGAGCTCAGTGGATGAGGTGGGCTGCAGAAAGCTGGTCTAGCTCAAGTAGTGCACAGCAAACCACTGGGAAGATTTTTAATGACTTAAATTTCCAGTTAACCATCAGCGTTCCGGCAATTGATGGATATTCATTCCCACAAGTTTTCCAGTATCACTTTTACTGTTCATGTCAGCCACTTGAGAACAAGACTATAAATATATAAACTTGTTTTAAGTAAACACAAAACAAATCATTGAGATGTTTATTGTGTGCTGTTATCGGTTGTTATTCTCCCAACATAAGTTGTCAAAAAAAAAAAAAAAAAAACTCCCAAAGCCAGCATTCTGGCACAGAGATAATTTGCTTTCTAATAACTCCAATAGTCATCATTTATTTTTGGATATAGCTACAAAAATAACCTGAAGACCTTTTACAAAATCAACTGCCATTTCAAAATGTACACTGTATACTTTCTAAACTTAAGGCTTGAAAGCTAACAGCTTAGTTCAGACCTTTAATATGGCATTATCTTCCAAATAAACATGTCTTTAAAAAACTGATCTACAACAAAATGTACAATGTTTTTGAGTTATCAAAGATATTCCAACAATAATGTCTAAAATGCTGGCATCTTACCCCCTTTAATTGGGAAGTGAGAAAGTCCAGTTAATTTTGAGTATGATTCTCTATTCAGAACACCAGTCTTCATTTGTTTTCTCAGACAGTCTGCACTTCCCTCAATTCATACAAATAATTTTGTAACAGTAATGACAGTCAACACTATCTCCCAATTGAATTAAAAGAAAAACCAATCTGTGACTCCATCCACATCCTCTCTAAACTCTAATTCAGATAACAGCTGAGCATTAACCTTGTGCCAGGCACTGGAGATACTGAAAGTTGCAGTCCAGTGTTGCCACACTGGGAATATGACAAAGCTGAAGGGTAACTGAGGGGTGGGGAAGGGGTGGGAGTAGGGTGTGGGGGCATGGGATGCCAGGACAGGAAAAGCTCCCTATGGTGAGTAAAGGAAGAGCTAGGTTTAGGCAATGTTTTGTTTTTTGGTTTTCTTTTAGACTTCTGAGAAGCTCAAAGCAGCTCAAAAGAATTTTATTTAACTTGTCCTCATAATATCCATGGAAACCTTCACAACTTTCTCATAAATCAGGAGGCATTTTGCATACAGAAAAATATACACCGAAGTTTTGTCTAAGACCTTTCCAGCACTTATTTGTAGAGCTAGTGCCAACATTCAGAATCCAAAACATCAGTCTAGAATACCACACTGGTTTTGACTGTTTAATTTTCAACCATATTGAGATACAGATGGAAACACTCTTACAAAAACCAATGATCACTCAAAATTATAAAGAAGTCCTATATATTTTTTAAAATGAAAAAAAAAAAGTGAGGAGGTGTTGTATCCATCTACTAGAGAGCAATTCCAAAAGTACAGAGCTAGTCACAACACTAGCACCTGAGAGGAAATGAATGCAGAGCCAGTGCTCAGATGCACTACAGACGGAGATGAGCTCCTTCATGTCCAGAGCTGACTCTACCTGCCACATGCTTAGAACGGCTTGACCACACCCTGGGCCCACAGCTTGACTCTGCACGGGTTTTCTGCAGTGCTTCCAGATGAAAGAGGCTCGGCACAACTCCATTTTTCATCACTAACTATTGTCTAACATTCACATTTTACTTCTTGAGTTGTGGGTCACTTCACACTTCTGACACACAATATGTTCCACAGATAAAAGCAAACTGCGTGCACACATATGCACTATGTTTTATACAGTTCTTGTTAGTTGCCAGGGAAAAACAGCTTCATAAAAGAGGGCTGGCCAGGTGCGGTGGCTCATGCCTGTAATTCTACCACTTTGGGAGGCCGAGGCTGACAGCTCGCTTGAGCCCAGGAGTTCGAGACCAGCCTGGGCAACACGGTGAAACCCCGTCTCTACAAAAAATACCAAAATTAGTTGGGCATGGTGGTGCGTGCCTGTAATCCCAGCTACTTGGGAGGCTGAGGTGGGAGGATGACTTGAGCTCATGATGTCCAGGCTGCAGTGAGCCGTGATCATGCCACTTCACTACAGCCCAGGTACAAGAGAACCTGTCTCAAAACAACAAAACAACAACAACAACAACAACAACAACAACAACAAAAAACCCAAACAAACATAAAAGGCGGCCAACCTGGAAATACCTGCAGGTTTTATCTTCTTAATCCAGAAAAGCTATTTTCTGCTTACTTACTTGAGTACATAGCCTAGAACACCTGTATCAACGGTTCTCTGCTAAGAACTGAAATATCATTCTTTCACATTATACAGTACATTGTACTGTATAATGTTTGGTTTCCCTACCTCAGGCAGGTACACAGGGGCCAGGCACCATCTATAACACACACCTCGGCTAGCTTACTGAGCTCTGTTGCACACATCCACCCAGGTAGGTGTGCGTCTGAGTTGTGAATCTAGCTCAACTAACTGCAGGAAATGAACAAGTAGTTTTAAAACATCACTGCCAAAAAACCAAAGAGTGAAAATAAAACAAATTAAGCATAAGCAAAAACAAGAAAATGGCAGAGGTGACATTTTTTCTACTCCCAGAATGGATTCTTCACCAGCCATATATGGAGTAAATGCAAAGATGATCTGATCAGATCTGACAAGACATTGGCCAAAAAAATAAAATTATCAAGAAAGAAATGACCAAGATGACCATTTTAGATACGGATCTACACACACACACTACACCTTGAGATGTTACTGTATAATAGAATGAATCCATCTGATTGACAAGACATTAAAAATACTGTACTTCACTGACATCTCATGCTTTCACAATTTCTTTTGGGTTGACTGTAATGTATATACTTTTATTGGCACAGTAGTATATAACATATAAATATGGCATTTATTGGGGTGCCTGTTCAACTTTTTTTAACCGACAGGTACTTATTCAAGAAAAGCCTATAAATCATGCCAATGTATAAAAATACCTTTACAATAATGCACTTCAGTAAATTTTTAAACAATTTACAGAAAATGTTTTTTCAATTTGGTAAACTTTATCAAAATGGTAAATCTCAATAAACTGATCACACAGTTAATTCCAAGTTTATTAGTAAACACTTTATCTGGTTAAATGTGATTTGTGTTATGCAATTCTGAGGCAAAACAGACAATTAGACAACAGCCTACAATGGTAGCTAGCACCTTCTCTTGCCTGAACACTGGGATCTCAACAGCTAAGTTAGAATTACCTGAGTGTCATGGGTGACTGGGAAGTTGGAGGCAGAGAGAAGTAAAGTTCTCAAGCTCTTTTAGAGTGTTCTTTCGTCAAAATCCACATGAATGCTAAAGAACTTTGAGTACAGTGTAAGAGTTCCAAGGATGGGGTCTGATGTCAGACAAATGTGTATGAATTCTGGCTGCGGAACTACTAACTTGGGACTTTGAGCAAGTCTCACCCACAAATAGAGAGGTTGTGAGAAATAAAACAAAAACTGTCTGGCACACAGAAAGATTCAATAAGCGTTATGTATGATTATTTTTTACGTAAAGGTACACATATATGAAGTGCCTGATCTCCCAGCAGCTGGACTTGAAATATGCTCTCAGGCAGTATGGTCTGAGGCCAGCATTTACCACCACCAGTAAGTACACTTCACTGATTCTAACTCAAGTGTGGTCCTTGGACTAGCAGCAGCACCTGCGAGCTTGTTAAAATGCAGAACTTCAGGCTCTACTCCAGTTCCAGTGAATCAGGACCTGCATGTGAACAGGTATTTCACATACACATTGAAGTTTTCAAGGCAATGAACTAAAGGAGAACTAAAAGTCCAAATCATTGGCTGTAACATCATGTAAAATGCTGAAACAGAACTCAGCTGAGGATGAATGGCAAGTGCTTCCTTCCTCAGGTCACTGGATTAGCTGTTCAGCATCTGTAAAAACAAGTGAGATGAAAACTGCCAAGGGTTAGCAAGATAAGCCCATAAGGTCATTCACTGCCTAGAAACAACAATTCTTGCCTCTGCCCTTTTTTCTATTACTTCAAAAGTCCTAAAATAAACTACCAATCTTCAGACTCCTCACTACATTAGGATTTAATCTATATAGCTGCAAAACTGAGGCAGAGAAAAGCATCTATTTTATAAGTGAAAACATCAATCCCTGTAAAAGGAAGTTACTGGCAGTTGCATACACCTGTATCCACACAACGTTCACACACATACACACACAAATCCAGGCTCTTTCTCCCTCAGAAAATGTCTGACAACTCTAAGAGAAAAATAACCCGCACCTCAGACTAATACACTGGCTTGTCACTTAGGGAGTGGCAAAGTCATTTTACCAAAACAAAGCAAATACCAGTACACTGAGAGGTCACATTGGTTTTGTAATTTTGTCAAGGCATTTAAAGATAAGAAAATTCTATTAATGGAAAACAGTTTTATTGAATCTATAGTGGTGGTTCTTACAGAAGAACAATTGAATTTTGTACAAATTGCCTTTCCACCTTAACTAATTATACTAAGCTGCTGTCTCCTATGACCACCTCCTCCACCTCAGAAAGTCTTTTTTAAAAATTAGTAAGAAGGGAAAGGCTGGCATTTGCAGCAATGCAGGCCAGTGCTAAACAGAAGCATCCTCTGACTTCATCGTGAGGTGGAGGCCTTCAAAACCCCAGTGGACAGAGTAAGTGCCCATGCTCCTTCCTCATAGGGCTCACTCCTTAAGGGTAGTGAACTGGGTGAGGGCTGGAGCTTACTCCAGAGATCACAGTGGGTGGGTGAGGAGGAGGGGGAAAGGGGGGACATTGTGAACTAGCCAACAGGAGCCTGCTTGCTCTGGTTGGTAGCTTGGTTTGGAGAACTGCTAAATCTCTTCCCACACCTTGTATGTACTAGGGGATTTATAGTACACAGATAGACTAATGACTGTGGGTTCCAAAAGTATCAGCCACAGTACCCGCTGAAAGAGGCAAAAGGCCTATGGCTGGTATGCTGGGGGCACCAGGTACCTGAGGCATCAGCCCTGCACTGCTAGTGTCTATGGGAGAAAGGCCCAGCACAGACCTATTGTTTTATGGTGCTGTCCTCACTGCCTTACAAAACATCTGTATCTATCCTGTTTTCAGCCTTTTTACTTTCAAATTTCCATAATATATGAAAAAATAGGAGGCCATTAATATATTTTATATACCAAAATAAACCTACTATTTTCAATTAGGTAGGAGCTTAAGATTGCCAATCTACAGAAGCTACATCAGAATTTCACCTTGGCCCAGCTCACCTGTAACTCATACCAGCCCCAGGAACAGGTAAATTGGTTTTGCAGGGTTGAGGCTAAAGGATGACACCACTATCAATCACGAAGAGGCTATGTTTTGCTGCAATGACAAACAATGCCCCAGATCTCACTGGCTTAAAATAGCCAAGGCTTATTTTTTAATCATGCTTCACGGCCACGTGGGCCGGCTGAGGCTCTGTTCTACACTATCTTCACTCAGGCACATGAGTGGGAGAGCCTTTAGTACAGGGGTGTCCAATCTTTTGGTTTCCCTGGGCCACACTGGAAGAAGAATTGTCTTGGGCCACACATCAAAAACAATAGCTGATGACAAAAAACAAACAAACAAACAAACAAAACACCTAACAATAGCTGATGACCTAAAAAAAAAAAATTGCAAAAAAAACTCAATGTTTTAAGAAAGTTTACGAATTTGTGTTGGGCTGCATGAGGCCCACAGGTTGGACAGACTTGCTCTAGTACCTCTTCTGCAGTACCAGGAAGAGGGAGAATGGACACTCAGGCAGAGATTTACAAGGTCTCCACGCATACTCTATTGGACAAGGCCAATTAGCTAAAAACATCTAACCTGACAGGAAAGGAGAAGTGTGATGGTATCCTGTGCCTGGATAGGGGAGAACTAGACAAGTCAGAGTAACAGCACAAGTGACCACATGCTTCCATCCCAGATTCCAGCAGGTACCTGTGACCCTGGCCAGGACTGACCCTTGCCCCTCACTCAAGGGAGTTTCCATAAACTGCTGTCAGATGGACAGACACTTGCTGGTGGTGGTCTTCCAGGGCCATTTCCCATGGATTCCCTCTGGTTGCTCACTACCTGGTTGTCTGTTTCTGCCTAAAATTCACCTTACTATTGAAAATCTCTCTCCTGCTGAGCAAACCTTCTCACCTTCCATAACTGCATCAGCTATTCAATCTCATCATGATCCACTTCCCCACATCCCTAGTTAATGTCATGTAAAACCACGCAGCCCGCCTCTTCCAGCTGCACTCTCATCAGATTACACAGAATAGCCTCCACCGATTTCTCGGGATTCCGAGTGCCAGAACTTGGGGGGAAAGTACATACATTTCTTTAGGGAAGTTAAACCTTTCCTCCTTGTGACTATTTAAATGAAATATCTTAAGTTATATTACAATGTGTATGTATCTGTATAGAAAGCAGCCTAAGAGACATCAATCTGTAAACACTGGTTATTTCTAGGAAGTGGGGTTATGATGGAGTTTTACCTTCTTTTTATGCATTTTACACTTTAAAAATATATATTATTTATATGCTTTCATATATGTAATTACATAAAAATTAGAGAATGCTACATTAAATTCTGTCCATTTGGTATATTTTCTGAGGATCAACTTCATACTAATTAATTCCTTGTATATATATTATTTCCTCCACACTACCTTCTTAAAGTACTGCACCTGAGGTAAGGAAACCAAAAGTTGATTATGTTACTTATTTGATTTGATAAAATGGACCACTGCCTCAAAGAAAACACGCACGGTTTAAGCTCTGTGTAAATATTTCTTCATTGCCTGACTGAATTGCTTTTACGCAAGGGTGATACTAGCCGAGAGAATGCAAGTGACAAGCTGACAAAGAGAGCAGGACAAAAAAGAAGAGCCAACCTGGGTTCTGCCCTCGACATGAGAGAATAGAGGTTGGGGAGAGGAAATACAAAGAACAACAATAATAATAATGGCAGCTAATATTTACTAGGTACAAACACTCTGCTTGGTTCTCTACTAACATTATTGCATATATTTTCTCATTGAACTACGAAGATTATTCAAAATAGCAGGAACTATTTTCCCTACTTTTAGCACTGAGAAAACTGAGGCACAGGAAAATTTCATAATCACAGCTGTTAAATGGTGGAGCCAGGCAATCTGGGTCAAGAGCTCATGGCCCTTAGCATTACACTAACTCACTCGACATCGTATTTCATATTAACTCTAGGAGGACTGTGCAACGTATAAAAATACCAAACCATAGCAAAATCCAGCATAAAACAGAATTGTAGTACATCTTTGAAAAATGACAGACTTCTAAACTTTGAGGCAACGGAAAAAAAAAAATCAAAGAAAAACAGGCTCAACTAGAACTGCATAAATTTAGGTCTGTGGTAGACACTCGTTGTTTCCACATGTTCCCACTCTTGGCTTCCACAACAGAAACAGTGACCCCTAGTCCATCCCAGGTGCTTCTGCCATGACCCCCCCCCCGCCCATCACTTTACCTCAGGGCCAGCCAGCTACATGGAGGACTATGACTCAGGCCAGCCAATCAGGTCTTCCTTTTTTTTTTTTTTTTAGACAGAGTTTTGCTCTTGTTGCCCAGGCTGGAGTGAAATGGCACGCTCTCAGCTCACCACAACCTCCGCCTCCCAGGTTCAAGCGATTCTCCTGCCTCAGCCTCCTGAGTAGCTGGGATTACAGGCAAGTACCACCATGCCCAGCTAATTTTTGTATTTTTAGTAGAGATGGGGTTTCTCCATGCTGGTCAGGCTGGTCTCAAACTCCCGACCTTAGGTGATCCGCCTGCCTCAGCCTCCCAAAGTGCTGGGATTACAGGCATGAGCCACCGTGCCCGGCCAGGTCTTCCATACTTCTACTGACAGTGACTGTTCCAAGGAGTGAGCCACTGGAATCACTGCTGAAATTTTACAGATCAACCCAGGGAAACATGGGATGGTATGGTTTGAATATTTGTCCCCTCCAAAACTCATGATGAAATGTAATCCCCTGATATGATTTGGATTTGTGTCCCCGCCCAAATCTCATGTCAAATTGGAGGAGGGACCTGGTGGGAGGTGACTGGATCATGGGGGCGGATTTCCCTCTTGCTGTTCCCATGACAGTGAGTTCTCACGAGATCTGATGATTTAAAAGTGTGTGGCACTTCCTGCTTGGGTCTCTCTCTTCTACCACCATGTGAAGAACCTTCCTTCCCCTTTGCCTTCCAACTGCATGATTTCAAGTATCCTGAGGCCTCCCAGTCATCCTTCCTATTAAGCCTGTGGAATTGTGAGGCAATTAAATCTCTTTTCTTCATAAATTACCCTGCCTCAGGTAGTTCCTTTTTTTTTTTTTTTTTTTTTTTTTTTTGAGACAGAGCCTTGCTCAGTTGCCCAGGCTGGAGTGCAGTAGCACAATCTGGGTTCACTGCAAGCTCCGCCTCCCGGGTTCACGCCATTCTCCTGCCTCAGCCTCCCAAGCAGCTGGGACTACAGGCGCCCGCCACCACGTCCGGCTAATTTTTTTTTTGTATTTTTAGTAGAGACAGGGTTTCACCATGTTAGCCAGGATGGTCTCGATCTCCTGACTTCGTGATCTGCCCGCCTCAGCCTTCCAAAGTGCTGGGATTACAGGTGTGAGCCACCGCGCCCAGCCATGCAGGTAGTTCTTTATAGCAGTATAACAATGGAAGTAATACAGAAAATCGGTACCAGGAGTGGGGCATTGCTATGAAGATACCTGAAAATGTGGAAGCGACTTCGAAACTGGGTAATAGGCAAAGGTTAGAACAGTTTGGAGGGCTCAGAAGACAGGAGGATTGTGGGAAAGTTTGGAACTTCCTAGAGACTTGCTCAACAGTTTTAACCAAAATGCTGATAGTGATACCGACAATAAAATCCAGGCTGAGGTTGTCTCAGATGGAGATGAAGAACTTACTGGGAAATGGAGCAAAGGTAACTCTTGCTATGCTTTAGCAAAGAGACTGGAGGCATTGTGCCTCTGCTCTAGGGAACTGTGGAACTTTGAACTTGAGAGAGATGATTAGGGTATCTGCCAGAAGAAATTTCTAAGCAGCAAAGCAGTCAAGATGTAGCCTGGCTGCTCCTAACAGCATGAAGTCATATGTGTTCATAAAAAGATGGTCTGAAAATGGAACTTATGTTTAAAAGGGAAGCAGAGCATAAAAGTTTGGAAAAATTGCAGTCTGGCCATGTGGTAGAAAGGAAAAACCCATTTTCTGGGGAGAAATTCAAGCTGCCAGCTATAGAAATTTGCATAAGTAAAGAGGAGCTGAATGTTAATCGCCAAGACGATGGGGAAAATGTCTCCAGGTCATTTCAGATATTTTCCCTGCAGCCCGTCCTATCACAGCTCTGGAGGCCTAGGAAGAAAAAATGAATTAGTGGGCTGGGCCCAGGGTCCCTGCTGCTCTGTGCAGCCTTACGACATGGCACCCTGTGTCCCAGCCGCTCTAGCTCCAGTTGTAGCTAAAAGGGGCCAAGGTACAGCTCAGGCTGTTGCTTCAGAGGGAACAAGCCCAAAGCCTCAGTAGCTTCTATATGATGTTGGGCCTATGGGTGCACAGAAGGCAATAGTTGAGGTCTGGAAACCTCTGCCTAGATTTCAGAGGATGTATGGAAATGCCTGGATGTCCAGGGAGAAGTCTGCTGCAGGAGTGGAGCCCTTATGGAGAACCTTTACTAAGGCAATGTGAGGGGAAATGTGGGGTTGGAGCCCACACAGAGTCCCCACTGGGGCACTGCCTGGTGAAGCTGTGAGAAGAGGGCCACCATCCTCTAGACCCCAGAATGGTAGGTCCACCGACAGCTTGTACCATGTACCTGAAAAAGCCACAGACACTCAACACCAGTCCATGAAAGCAGCCATGGGGGCTGTACCCTACAGAGCCACAGGGGCAGACCTGCCCAAAGCCTTGGGAGCCCACCTCTTGCATCAGCATGCCCTGGATATGAGACATGGAGTCAAAGGAGATTATTTTGGAGCTTTAAGATTTAATGGCTGTTCTGCTGGGTTTCAGTCTTGCATGGGGCCTGTAGCCCCTTTGTTTTGGCCAATTTTTCCCATTTGGATCAAGAGCATTTACCCAATAAATGTACCCCCACTGTATCTTGGAAGTAACTCACTTGTTGTTGATTTTTTTTTTTTTTTTAAATACAGACAGAGTCTCACTCTGTCACCCAGGCTGGAGTGCCTGTAATCCTAGCTATTCAGGAGGCTGAGGCAGGAGAATCGCTTGAACCCAGAAGGTGGAGGTTGCAGCAAGCCGAGATCACGCCACTGCACTCCAGCCTGGCAATGGAGCGAGACTCCATCTCAAAAAAAAAAAAAAAAAAAAAAAAAGAAATACAAATTTAAACAATAGGTACAGTGGCAGTGTAGGAAGGTGGCGGTGTACCCAGCATTCAATCCCAAAATGCTTCACCACTCAGCCGCCATAGTCCCCTCAAAATCCCCTTCGTCTGCCTCTGCTGATTTCCACCCCTTGTAGTCAGCATCAGCTGTGTGACCTGAGGCTGGCCCCTGAGATGTGAGCAGATATCTGCTGACACCACCCTATCCTGCTTTCTCCTGCCTTTAACACTATGGTCGAGCTATGGCAGTCATCTTGTGATTATGAGAAAAAAGCCGGGAGAATCAGAGATGCTGCCTTGAGCTTATGACAAATGGTAGCAGCCACCTGCCTCTGGGCTTCCTATTATGTGATTCAAATTCCTATTTGCATAAGCTACAGGTAGGCAAATATTCTGTTACTTCATGATGTGGTTTGGCTGTGTCTCCACCCAAATCTCATCTTGAATTCCCACGTGTTGTGGGAGGGACCTAGTGGGAGGTAACAGAATCATGGGGGCAGAATCATGGGGGCACTTCTTTCCCATGCTGTTGTCGTGATAGTGAATAAGTCTCATGAGATCTGATGGTTTTAAAAAGATTAGTTCCCCTGCACAAGCTCTCTCTCTTTGCTTGCTGCCATCCATGTAAGACATGACTTGCTCCTCCTTGCCTTCTGCTGTGATTGTGAGGCCTCCCTAGCCATGTGGAATGGTAAGTCCATTAAACCTTTCTTTTGTAAACTGCCCAGTCTAGGGTATGTCTTTCGTTTTCAGCAGCATGAAAATGAACTAATACATTTCATTCATTTAACAGCGTGAAAATGGACTAATATACTTCATAACATTTAACATTATTTACTAAGTGCCTGCCACATTCCAGGCACTAAGAAAAAAGAAGTGAGCAAAGCAGAAAAGACCAGCTCTGGTGTGGCTTCCTTACATCTCAGAGGAAAGCATGCTTAGCCACTAGAGGTAACATTAGGTGGCTCTCCATAAGTAAAATGAATGACAATAACAACACAAAGTTATTGTAAGATATAACAGCCATATCTGATGCTAGCAAAGACATGATAAAACTTCTGTCTTCAAATACAGCAGTAAGCAAACAGGTGGCATGTACCAAAGTAGCCCGTCCCTATTCACAATTCATTCTCCTTAATTGAGGGATTCCATGTTTATGACACTAGGTATGAAACGTCATTTGAAAGCCCCTGCCACTCAGACTGCCCAGTCTATTTTAAATTTTGTCTTAGTGAAAAATGTCACTGCTAAGAGAAAAATACTTTAAAAATTAGTCACCAACTTTGCCTTTGTAGGTTTGAATTCACTAAGAGCACCCTCATACACTACAGTTGACAATAAACCATGGTTAACAATGAACTGGCCTAAGTCATGGCTCCCTGCCTTTGCCCTGGGTGACACGATGCACTCTACACATACAATTATTAAAACAAAAGACAAGAACAGCTAATGACTTTGCTATATACAATGGCTGGTTATTCAGTTTTTCAAGATACACACATGCTACTCCACTTCATAAAGTATTTCCTTATGGCTTTTATTTGAAATTTTACAAAAGGAAATAAATAACACCCATCCCTTACCTGCCCCCCAAACACTACACTGTATAAGAAAGAAATCCTTATGACATTAAAGTTGTGTCATTCGACTATTATTTCAAATGTTTTCATTTTATTTCTTCATTTTCATCTTATTATTATTATTTTTTAGAGTTGGAGTCTCACTCTGTTGCCCAGGCTGAAGTGCAGTGGCAATCATAGCTCAGTGCAGCCTCAAACCCTTGGGCTCAAGCAATTCTCCCGCCTCAGCCTTCCAGACTACAGGTTCAGACCCCCACATCTAATTTTTTTACTTTTTATAGAGACAGAGTCTTACTATGCTGTCCAGGCTGGCCTCAAGCTATGCTCCCACCTTGGCGGCCCAAAGTGTTGGGATTACAGGCGTGAGCCACTGTGCCTGGCCTTTATTCCTATTTTAAAACAAACATAGGGCCCATGCAAAATAAGCAAATATGTTCATTGAGTAAAATTCTTTGTTCTTGAGACTTCAATTTCCATGACACCACTGAAGAGTGCTTTTCTCCTTCACGTCATATGACTCTTCAATTATTTGGTACACAGGCTTCGTTCGATCTTAGCATTGTTCACTCCTTTTCCTGTTGTGATTTGCTTGTCCTATCTGTTGAGCAAAGTAATAACTTCCTTATCTAGGAGACTCTTGTATGGACCACGCTCTATAAATGGCCTCTGAAAATACTTCTAGTTACAAATTGGAATCCAGTTTTTCTTTTTTAATTCGAAGATGCTAACAAATCACTAAAAACAAAACGTTGTAAATATCTATCAATATATGGCTGAATAATTAAATAATGATATATCCATTCATCTGAATAACACTCTTTTTCTTTTTTTTTTTTAAGATCTGCAAAGAAAGTAGTTCGCATACAATTAGGTAGAGGTAAAAAAGCAAGCTACAGACCAGATATACTATGATTCAGTTTCATTTTTTTAAAAAGCTGGATACATTTATGTACATAATTGTGTTTTCTGCCCATTTTTATATGTGCAAAATAGTTCATAGAGAATACCAAACTGTTAATGGTTGATTCTTTGGATACTAGAGAAGTTATATCATTTTATATACTTTTTTATCCTTTGACTTTCTCACTGTGCACATAAATGACTTACGTAATTTAAATTTTTTTTTTTTTTTTGAGACGGAGTCTCACTCTGTCGTCCAGGCTGGAGTGCAGTGGTGCAATCTCAGCTCACTGCAACCTCCGCCTCCTGGCAGGAGAATCACTTGAACCCACACCCGGCTAACTTTTATATTTTTAGTAGAGATAGGGTTTCACCATGTTAGCCAGGCTGGTCTTGAACTCCTGACCTCAGGTGATCCACCCGCCATCAAATAAAACTACCTAGCATAACTGCTGGCTCATATGACATAAATTTGATTAACCAGGCTTTACTTTACAATAGATATTCTAACCTCAAACCAAAGGGTCTCTCTGCAAATGATGTCTGGGAGGAATGACTGGGCCAAGTCCACAATGAGAACACAGGAGCTGTGTCAAAAGCCCTCTTTGCCAGCTCAAAGGAAAAAGGCACACCACATGATTCATATGCCCTTTCACAGCATTTTGCAATAAATTAATTAAAACCTTAGAAAAAAATTGTACAAAATCCTGAAATCCACTTCTATTGATCTCCACATCAAAATACAAATTTTAAACGTATATGATTAAAAAAAAAGTATGCTGTCTCACTTTTGTCTCAGGGAAAAGTTGCCTTTTATGAATTCTTGTTTGTTTGTTTGTTTTGAGAGAGAGAGAGAAAGTCTTACTCTGTCACCCAGGATGTGGAGTGCAGTGATGCAATCTCGGCTCACTGCAACATCCACCTCCCAGGCTCAAGCAGTCCTACCACTTCAGCCTCCCAAGTAGCTGGGAACATAAGGTGCATACCACCATGCCTGGCTAATTTTTGTATTTTTTGTAGAGAAGGGGTTTCACCCATGTTTCCCAGGGTGGTCTCAAACTCCTGAGCTTAAGCAATCCATCTGCCTCAGCCTCCCAAAGTGCTGGGATTACAGGCATGAGCCACCATACCTGGTGCCTTTTATAAATTTTGTGATAAAATTAAATCCTTTGCCTATCAAGATACTTTAAGCAAAAACATATACCTGGCAAAATTATGAAACTGTTGTTTATTCTGGTTTGTAGTTCCACTATAAATCAGTACACCACATCACATTGAGTTGGGACAGTCATTTTCAAAACTCAGACAAGGAATCAGAGAGAAATGAAACCTCGACAGACTAACAACAGTAAATCACTGTGTCCACCATGGCAGCTACCCGTGGTGGGAGGTGCCACCTCTGCTGTCACCACAGAGTGCTTCTGCAGAACCCAGGGACACACTGGGATCCACTCTGGTCTGTGTCATATCCTTCTTTTGTGAGATTTCAATTATGCCACTAATTGGCCATAATTTAAGGTTAACTTACTTTGATGTCTTCAAAAAGTTATATTTTTAAACAGTAAGTTTATTTTTCAAGTGATTTGTTAAACAATAATATAACTATACCTGTGCAGGATACCTATGATGCAGGCATTTTTTTTTTTTTTTCCATTAGAAAATGAGCAGATTATTAGGCCGGGCACGGTGGCTCACGCCTGTAATCCCAGCACTTTGGGAGGCCAAAGCAGGTGGATCACGAGGTCAGGAGATCAAGACCATCCTGGCTAACACGGTGAAACCCCATCTCTACTAAAACTACAAAAAATTAGCCGGGCGTTGTGATGGGCGCCTCTAGTCTCAGCTACTCAGGAAGCTGAGGCAGGAGAATGGTGTGAACCCGGGAGGTGGAGCTTGCAGTGTGTTGAGATCACCCCACTGCACTCCAGCCTGGGCGACAGAGTGAGACTCCGTCTCAAAAAAAAAAAAAAAAAAAAAAAAAGAAAAACGAGCAGATTATTTTTCTTTAAACAATGTATGTAAGTTCAATTTTATTACCAATCTTCTATAGAAACAAAATTACATGGTTAATTATTTGCTAGTTAAGCATAGAAATTACTTTCTTGTGCTATATGAATTAGAGCCTGGCAATCTGCTAAAATAAAAATAAAATAGAAAAAGATGAGATTACTCTGGCTAAACCATTTTAGATACTTGAATCTCTTAAAGCACACTTCTCTCTCAGTAACTATGTTAATATGTACTAAATAAGACAGTAGAACTGATTAGCTGTTCTACTGTCTTATTTGCAATTAGAATTCACTTGTTGGAGAAGTCTGAGTTACACTTACTTTCACAAATATGAATTTAGCTATGAAAACTAAGTTAAATTTGCAAAGACTCATTGAAGGCAAGTCACTAAAAAGGTTTCACTTGAATTAAGAGAGGAAATGTAAAAAATTAGAGATAATAATCTTAAGAGGCAGTGCACACTACTTAGCTTCCATTTCCAGGTGGCTTTAGAGTCTTGCTCATCAGAAACAGTTGTAACCATTTAAATTGTACACAAAAACTTGACACAGCTGAATTGCATAATGTGAATTAGCTTTAAGTTAAGAAAAAAAAGAAGCCACAATGTATGTGTGTGTGCACGCACATGCAAAAAAAGACAACCTGAAATCCCATGAGAACCTTTAGTAAAATATTGGCAGTGTCATGTTTTACAGCAAGTAGAACATGCCTTGGATGATGGAAAACACACCATGGTATCCATGAAGTCAGCATAAGAAAAAACTATTTACTGATCAGGCTGCTACTTAAATTATGCTTTAAGTTAAAGTAAAACGTATAAGGTGTTTATGCATTATTTTAAAATGATTTCCTATTATAATCAATTTTTCTTCCTTTTTTTTAGATTAATCAGCCACTGTACAGTCCCAATTTCCTCAAATTAGGACATTTATTACAGCATGTTGTGTTGCAGAACGTCATGAAATTTTAAGATAGATATACGGGACTGACAGATCGTCATCTAATACTTAAGGCCTCTACCAGTTTGGATGTTCCTGACCAGCAGGGGTCTCAAGTTTAGATCTGCACTTTGACATTAATACAAGAAGCTTGTATTGAGAGCTTTAATTGACAGATCTATAAAAACAGCCATCACACTTACAGTGCTGCTGTGGTCCCTGGGCCACAGCTTCTCTTTTCTGAGGACTGGGGAGCAGCACTGTGGGCCCACACACTTACCCACTCTCTCAACTGCATGGTATGCAGTTTCCCCCCCAATTTTATCATCTATTTTTATGTTTTTTCATTTTTACTACTTTATCCTAATTTTTCTCACCTGTTCATTTCTGTCAATCGCTTTGACAGAAATAAACAGAAAATATACTAATTCTCTGACAATTTTCAAAGTTCTAGAAACAGCTAACACTGTGTACTAGATAGACATTCTAACAACTTCCCAGGCATGAATTCATTCAGTTCTCACAATTACCTTATGAGATAGAAGCTATTATTGTCCCCATTTTACAAATAGAGAAAACAGAGAGGTTTAGTAACTTAGCTAAAGTTGTTCAGCTAGCAAGTGGTAAAGTCATATTTCTAATCCAGGCAGTCTGTTTTATGCCTCTGTACTTAAACACTATGGTATACTGCCTTTCTAGTTAAGGAAAATCTGATCTGAATTCTGTGACTATATTAAATTACAGTCAAGGAATTAAAGAGTCTTTCTTACATATAACAGTTACAATTATAACATTATTTTGTAAAAAAAATAGATATATAGTAAGGAGTAAAAAGAAAATTTATTACATTGCCTCTATTAGCACCTTATGCAAGTTTTATTCTTTGAAACAGGGCTACAGTATATATCTATTAGTACTCTATAAATTTCATTTTGTCACCATGAAAGACTGGATGTCCTCCAAATTATTTTAAATTAATATGGCTTTACTTGTTAAATTTTGAGTAATGACCCCTTTATTAAGGTTTCAGTACTGAAATTTCAAATTTATTATTCTAATTCAGAAACCAACCTTACCTGAAATTTGTAATAAAACATATAATTAATAGGAGTCTGATCTGAGAGTTATGAATAGGTTTAAATAAAAAAAATTTAGGGTGAGTATCTCAGCTAGCCAATTGCAGTCTTTAAAATCAAGATATTATATGATGTGGCAAGGCATAGTGGCTCACACTTGTAATCATAGCACTTTGGGAGGCTGAGGTATGAGGATCACTTGAGTCCAAGAGTTCAAGATCAGCCTGAGCAACAAAGTGAGACCCTGTCTCTACAAAAAATTTAAAAATTATCTGGGTGTGGTGGTGCACACTTGTAGTCCCAGTTATTCAGGAGGCGGATGCAGGAGGATTGCTTGAGCTTAGGAGTTCAAGGCCGCAGTGCACTATGATCACACTACTGTGCTCCAGCCTGGGTGACAAAGTGAGACTTTTTCTCAAAAAAAAAAAAAAAAAAAAGATATTCCACATTTGTAGACTTTTCCTGACATAAGCTGAGCTGCATGTCATCATATCTGATGGCAAGACTATTTTGGAGAAGAGAGGGTAAAAGTTATAAGGAACTTAAAAAAAAAAAACCCAGGAAACTTACATACCACACACTGTAATAAATTATATGTATATAAAACATGTATATTTGTATATATTGTACATGTATAATTATATTTTATATATAATATGTATATAATTATATGTGTACATATGTACATACTGCATATAATACTGGTTGAATCCTCACAACCCCTTGACACAGATAGTATCACCACTTCACCGAAGAATCTGAGGTTCAAAGAGTAGCCTGACAAAGGTGACGCATTTATTCGCCTGAAAGCCAGGATGTGCAGCCAGAGTCTGCTGACTCCAGAGCTCTTTCTGCCACAAAATGCTGCTTATTGGGACCAAAATGCTTCTCTGTGGACTATCATCTATGGTACAACCTAACTAAAGGGCACCACGCTGGATGCCCTGACTGCAGAGAAATTATACATAATAGTAGCCAGATGTAAAAGAAAGTCAGCAAGATGAGTCTTTGAATGTTTTACTTGTAATAAACTGTTATCATAAGCTCCTGATATTTTGATATTTTTATCAAGATGGTACTTTCGGTGAGTGTGGAGGGAGAAAGCCAATAGGTGACCATGCACTCTTTCTATTTTTCTTGGTAATTACTGAATGGTATACTCAGTAACGGGAACCTACATTCACGGCATCAACACACTGACGTGGGCGAGGATAACTTCTTTCCAGATAAAAGCATCAGGTCATTTGCCTTAGTCGACTAACTCTTAACTTAATTAAAAGCCCGACTTTGGGATTGGGAGATAGAATCTGACATTTCTTTGGAACTTCTAAAGCTACCTCTGGGAAGTTTTCCAAGCAGATCATTTGATTTTGCAGTCACTTTGTGTTACAGCCAATCCAGATATTTATGAGATAAGCCCTTCACACTATCCTCTGAACCAACAATCTCCTTGTCCCACAAGTCCCTGAATATCTTGCTCCTAGAGTCTTTCAGCTGTTACCAGCAAGGGCGAGTTCAGGTCTGAGGCCTCTGACTAACACGGAGTCACTCCTCATGCCTAGTTGGGGTTATAATGTCACCTCAAACCCAATTTAGACAGCTGGCTAATCACCTGTCAAACAAATTCAAATACTTGGCCTCAGGAAAGGATCAACCACTGCCAACTAATAAAAAGATACAAAAATAAATGCTGGCTGGGCATGGTGGCTCACGCCTGTAATCCTAGCACTTTGGGAGGCTGAGGAGGGTGGATCATGAGGTCAGGAGATCAAGATCATCCTGGCTAACACAGTGAAACCCCGTCTCTACTAAAAATACAAAAAAATTAGCCGGGTGGGGTGGTGGGTGCCTGTAGTCCCAGCTACTCGGGAGGCTGAGGCAGGAGAATGGCGTGAACCCAGGAGGTGGAGCTTGCAGTGAGCTGAAATAGTGCCACTGCACTCCAGCCTGGGTCACAGAGCGAGACTCTGTCTCAAGAAAAAAAAAAAAAGCTAAACAGGCATGTGGTTCTTACACAAAGTCAAATTTTCTAAATTAAATTACCTTGTCATAACGTATACTACATTATGGTAATAAAAATGAATAAAAGAATTGGCTTTACATGCTAGAGAAATTTCCATTTGGAATATTCGAGATGCTATATTGCAAAGAAACAAAATATTACTGTAATTAAAGGCTAAGAAAGAGCTCACAGAGCTTCACTAATGTTTCCCCCATCCCACCAACCTGACTGGGCAGTCACAGATAGATTCACCTCCTCTAGCCACAGTCTTGGGATAATGTTACACTCTTTGGTATAAAGTCTGTACTATTAACTTCCTGCCAAATCCAACTACTTTACTCTCATTTTCTTCCAAAACCTTATCCAAGCCACATTCAACTCCTGGAAGACAGTCATCCCTAGCCTAACAAGTGTGTCCATCTAATCAGCCCTGCTGAAAGTCATCATTTAATCGCAAAGACCAAATACAAATTCCCTTTGGTGGTCTGCAGTCACCACACTACCTCCCATTATGCCCAGCTGGCAAGTGACCACAGACCATGTGCCCCGAGAAGCTGGCCCAGGTTTTTAGCCAGGCTCAGCCTTCACACTGAGAATGGCCTGACTCGCTCTCCTGCATCCCTCAAGCTCTTTCAAGTCCAGTTTAATGCCAGCTCCCAATCACTGTGGACTCACCTGGGGTGGGCTAGTTTTCTGTCCATTCTAGAATCCTAAGGGCACATTTCTATTCCCTTTATAAGGTTCATCTCCTTATAGTTATCCACAACTTTGAAAATAGGCAACTACCTCAACTCGAATGATGTAAATCCATACCTTGATAGTATTAGCTAAAAAATGGGTGACACTAATTGTTGTGTGTGCCACTTTTACTTTTATCATTGCATTATAATTCTCACAACAGTACCATAGAAGTAGATATAATCATCCCATGTTACAGCAGAGAAACTGAATGTAAGATTTCATAACATTTACCAACTATTACTCTCCTCACCCCTTGACACCTCTAGGAATGTGTACTGGGCAGGTGGAGCTTTGTGAGAGCAGGGAGGCATACAGTAGTGAGAAGCACCCCAGTCTGAAGTCAAAAGGCTGAATTTCAAGTCCAGGCCCCGCATCTTAATGGCCATGGGACTTTGAGGAGGATGCACAGCAGAATGGTCTAAGGCAAGAGGGGTTGCATTCTGGTGCCAGGTTCAACAAAATTTGTCAGACTGCTCCAGCAAATGCTTCTTATGACCCACGGCTAAATTGGCTGCGACCTTGATCCTTGAACCTGAGTTCTCATTCCATTTTTGGCACAGCACTAATTCGCCTCTCAGGATCTCCTTTTCGACTTTCCAAGATTAATGGCATTTATTATGATATTTGACTCAGTTATGTGAAAAGGGCATTGCTCTAATTAATATGTCAACCCTTGCTGTAATGACAACTAAATTTCTCAAATAAATGCCAGAGTTAACTATCTACAAGTCTCATGGCTTACAAAGAGATTACCAAAGCTGAGACAGGAAATTACCATTTCTCCAGGCTTACTAAGTGGCTCATCCCCTGAGTTATTTAAAGTACCTCATTTAAAGACACATGATTTAAGGTATCTCATTTCATCCTTACTACACACCTGTGAGGTCAACCTTATCTATTAATCACCATCCTTTCAAAGGTGAGAACCTGACTCAGTGATTGAAGGTAATTTCACCAAAATGAACTAGCAAATAGGCAAGCCAAGGATTCAATCCCCAGTCTGCTGGACTCCAAAGTTTTCTCACCCTCGCTGCTGCTTGGAGGAGCATGGCAAATGGCAAAAAAGCAAAGAGGACACAGCTCATTATCCACTTGGAGGAAGATATCTATAATGTTGGAAGGTTTGTTTTCCCGCTCAATTATGAAGCAATTACAACGATGAGAAAAAGTCTTCCTAACGTCACAGGGTACCAAAACCCATTCCTTGCCCTCTACTTCTCAAGGAGGTAAAGGATGATGTCAGCAGGCACAGGGACCCTGGATAAAGCCCAAAACAAAATAGACAGATACAGACACAGATCAGTTTTTCCCAATCGCAGAGCAGTCGGTCAGTCAGATGCAGTCCCAGAAATCTGTTTCTTAAGGTTTTACTCATGACAGTTAGTTTAATACAAGTGATCATAATGACTCCTCTGGGAGACCATCATGCCAAACCTCAAGCCAAAGCAATGCACCTACCTCCTCCCCATACTCCTGGCTGCTTTTTCTAGAAACAGGTCAACATGAATGTTTATTATGCCAGATGTCAAAGATAATGAAAACAGCATGTTCCCTCCCTAAAAGAGCTCACTGTCTAGTAAGAGAGACATACCTGGAAAAAACAACAACAACAATAACAAAAAAACAATAACAACTGCATTGCACACAATTAAATGTGATGGTCCCAAATCCAAGTAAACACAAATGATTAAGAGAAAATTCATTTACCTGAGGTTTCATTAAGAGAAGCTATGTATTCATAATTTGAGCTTTTAGAAAAATAAATGAAACTATTGTCATTACTGAAGAATAAATACACCTGAATTGGTCTTCTTAGCTAGGTAGCCATTTACTTCTATAGTTCATAATGCAAAATCCACCCTACACAGCCAGTCATTTCTCCTCCACACTCTAAAACACAATCCGCAATTCTAATGACCATCAAGCCTGCAAAGGAGAAGAAAATAAAAGCAGAGCCCTATGACTGGAATATGGGTCCATAATGAATTCTCCAGAATTCTGAAATCTAAACATCTCTGAAAACCAATTGTTTTTCACTAATTCATTTGATGACAAAACTTGAGCTGACTCATTTGGCTATAAAATCTGTCCTGAACTGCCATAAGGCTCTATTAAGCCTTTAATCATCCCATTTAATGAGCTTTGCTGAAATATTACGTTTGATTACAGGGTGATGCCCCAGCCCTGTTTGGAGTCTTTCATACTCTATGGTATGTGTAGCATACACCTTCTAAAATCCAAAATACTGAGAATTCAAGAACAGACGCTCAGATGATATTATGGTGCTGTATTTACTTTGTGGAGGCACAGAAGAAGTCAGAATCAAAGAAACACTACTTTGAGAGAAAAAACTCAGTGTTAAGTTAAAAAAAAAAACAACCATAAAGCACCTATCTTCTTGCCTGCAGTCGTTTCTCCCAAAATCACCAAGAATCAGAGCCAAATGTACAAATAAATTACAACCCACCCACCTTCAGGAAGCCTTGCTAACTTACATATGCCATCATGGGACTCGGAAGGGCTCCCCTTCCAAGTTGGCAGAACCAGCATGCCACCACTGTCCGTGTCAGGACAAGAGCCTCAGGCAAAGATGGCTGTTTGAAACCTCTTTCTTCTTCTTCTTCTTTTTTTTTTTTTTTTTTGGAGACAGAGTCTTGCTCTGTCGCCCAGGCTGGAGTGCAGTGGCGTGGTCTCGGCTCACTGCAACCTCTGCCTCCTGGGTTCCAGTAATTCTCTTGCCTCAGCCTTCTGAGTAGCTGGGACTACAGGCGTGTTCCACCATGCCTGGCTAATTTTTGTATTTTTAGTAGAGGCAGGGTTTCACCGTGTTGGCCAGGCTGGTCTCGAACTCCTGACCTCAGGTAATCCACCCGCCTCAACCTCCCAAAGTGCTGGGATACAGGCGTGAGCCACCATGCCTGGCCTCCTGTCTTTTTATCTGAAGCCTGGCATATTGCATCTGGGCTCTTATTAAATAGAAAGTCATCTGTGTAAGCCCCCAAGTCTACACAATCTCCCCAACTTTCTATGCAAATAACCTTTACCACATTGCCCTGCCCTTCAGTACACACAAAACCCAGGTCAAGAACATTTCTTCTAGCCTTTTGTTTTACTTGAAAGTTGTTGTGAGAGAGAACCAACTGAGCTACTGAGGACATGGCTGCTAAGCACAGAAAGGCCATTTAAGGGCTGAGAAACATTGATTCAGCATAATACGTTATTGCCAAAGCAAAGGGAACTGTACAGTTTGGATGCCGGCAAGGGGCTGTCCGTAGTTCTTGCTGAACCTTTGTGGAGAGCCTCAAAGTATACTGAAATCTCAACTGATCACAGTTTTAATGTATAAAATATTAAAATAAAAACTGTGGACAAGACCCTAAAGTAAATGAAACCAGGAAGCTTGTCCACTTTTATTTTCAAACTCTTTGTCGGACCTAGGCAGCATCTTTAGTTCCTCCTTTCCCTTCAGACCTTAAATCAAGTCTACCACCAAGTCCTTTTCATTGTTCTTTTAAACAACTCTTGAAATTCTCACTCTCTATTCCTGCTGCTACCAGCCTATCCCAGCCCTAATCATCCACTAGGGCAACCACTGGGTGACTTCATCCAGTCTGATGCCCCGGTTTTTAATCTTCAGCCTGTATCTCCTCCCTAACTCCAGACTGCTTTGTCAAACTGCCCACTTACCATCTCCATTTCAATGTCAAACAGGGATCTCAAACTTCACAAGTTCAAAGCAGAGCTCTGGAATGCCTGTCCCAAACACTGTAGGGTCTCCCAGGTCCCCCTCCCCTCACTTTCTTTCTTTGTCCTGATCGAGAAGCATGGAGTACCTGGACCCTCTGTCTCTGGCAGCTGCATATTTTTCCCTGTAGGTCTGAACCCAAGCCGCAATCTTGAATACTCCCAAGCACTGATACAGTTGTTGAGGTTATCGCTTGAAACACTGAAAGATCAACCACAAGGCTAAACACGTAGAAACTAGCTCCCACTCCCTGAGCCACATTCTTTAAACCGTCATGAAACATTACACTCTGCCCCATCGTTGTGGACATGCCCAGGTAGAACCTCTTTTTACTATCAGTCCAGTCTCAAGAACTGCTGCAGCACTCTGTCCATAAGTCCCCTAATAACTGCTCTGGACTGAGCACTCTAGCGTTTAGTGCTTCTTTCTCTGGAATCCTCACTGGCCCTACCTCAAGAGAGTTGGGGCAATCCCTTGAGAAAACTTCCCTACCACTGCTTTTGGGGCAACTCTGGCCACAGGTTCATATGAGGAGAACTACCTCAGTAAATGGCAACTCCATCATCCAACTCATTAGACCAGGAAGTTTGAGTCTTCTCACACCTCAACTGTGATTCACTGGTAAGTCCTGTCAACTCTACCTTCAGAATACATCCCGAATCCAGCCAGTTTCACATCACACCTATGCCGCCAGCCTGGACTCTCTCCCAGACGGCTCCAGCAGCCTCCTAACTGGTCTCTCTGTTCACTCTGGACCTCCTAAGGACAGGCTGCTTCCCACACAAAACTTAGATTTCTGCCCTTCTTGCTCTAAAGTGGCATCATTCTCATGAATCTACCCACCAGCCCTGGGAAGATGATTCCAAAATGCTCTCTCTTGAGCCCTGACTTCTCCAGGTCCAAATTTTCAATTAAATACAAGTTCACTTCTATGTGGATAACCTACTGTCGCCTCAAACTCAACATTTCCAAACTGAATTTATCTTCCCCTCAAAACTGGCTCCCCTGGCCAGGCGCGGTAGCGCATGCCTGTAATCCCAGCACTTTGGGAGGCGGAGGCAGGCAGATCACCTGAGGTCAGGAGATCAAGACCAGCCTGGCCAAGATGGTGAAACCCTGTCTCTACTAAAAATACAAAAATCAGCCGGGCACAGTGGCACATGCCTGTAATTCCAGCTACTCGGGAGGCTGGAGAATCGCTTGAACCTGGAGAGGTGGGGGAGAGGTTGCAGTGAGCTGAGATCACACCACTGCACTCCAGTCTGGGCAACAGAGCGAGATTCCATCTCCCACCCCCACCCCCACCAAAAAAAAAAAAAAAAAAAAAACTGGCTCCCCCATCCTAACTGCTCAATTTTTATATATAATATCACCATGCTCCCAAGATAGAAACCCTAAAATTATTCTTTCCTTTTAAGTCTTAATATGCTTGGTATACATTATTATAATAAAATTTGGTATACAATTTTGCAGATTGCAAAAATGGTCACAATTCATCTTCTTCCCGCCTTGCAATGTGACTTTGCAGCTCCTTCCTTCAAGAGGTCAGGGCTATTTCTTTATCCTTTGAATCTGGGCTCATCCTGTGACTTTGGCCAACGGAATGCTGCAGAAGAGAGGATGTGCCAGTTCCAAGCCTAGGCCTTCAGAGAACTTAATGGGCTTCTCTTCTGTCTCAGAACCGTGTTTTCCCAGCAGACTGAAAGCAAGCCCAGGCTAGCCTACTGGACAAAGAGAGACATGTGGCCTAGCTGCCTCTGACATTCCAGCTGAGAGCCTATCAGCCCTCAGAGAAGAACTGTTTTGCTGAATGCAGCTGACCAGACACATAACTGAGTCTAGCTGAGAGTGTAAGAACCGCCTAGCTCAGCCCAGGCCAACTGCTGACCCACGGAATCCTGAGCTAAATAAACAGTTGTTTTAAGTACTGTGTTTTGGAATGGTTTCTCATATTACAATATATAACCATTATAAAATTTAACTCAGTGCATTAAAACATTATATTCCTAGTACTTGAGTCTCTGAGCACAGTGGAAATAAAAGGAAAAAAAAAGTCCTAGTACGTGGTAGACCCTCAATAAATGTCTTGTTCCATCCCAAATGTGGTCACGCAGAAGTCAGCCACCCGCTAGACTTGGCTCTTCAAAGGCAGGAGCCCTATCATGCTCATCTCCATATTCTCAACACTCAGCATAGTGTCTAGCACAAATTAGAGCCTCAATGTATGTGTTAAATAATTGTCAAGTGAAGATTTGAAATGTCTGCAATTCTAGGGCAAATTACATTTACATTACAATTAATGCATTGCATTACACAAAATGGATTACCTTTAAACTTAGGCAAGCTACTCAACTTTTCTAAATATCTGTTTCCTCATTATAAAAGCAATGGGGATAAGAGTGTCTTCCTCATGTAATACTCCTAAGGTTTAAATGCAATAGTTCATGCCACATCTGTAGCATAATACCTGGCACATATAAAATCATACCTATGTGGTGGGTGTTATCACTCACCTGTTTTTCTCTTTCCAAGTAAACTGTAAGTTACTTAGCCACAGAGATGTTACTGTGTGTGTAAGACAGTGCTGGCCACGTGGCAGGCGTGCTGGGTGCTTCATAAGCACATGGACTGCTCTCTGTACAGAAATCTCAATGGCTTCCCACTGCCCATTAAAATTTTAACTACTTTTACACAGCAATAATTTAAAAATCTTACCACCTCACCTATCCCATATTATGTAATATCACATACCAGATCAATGAGAAAGACATCCAGGTATAAGCAACAGAAACCCAAGTAACAGTGTCTCAGACAAGCAGTTTTACTTTTCCATCAAACAGCCTCGAGGTAGGCAGTTGCTGTCATTCTCCAGTGGCTGTCACAGGTGTCAGAGACAGCTGCCCTGAGTCCCTCAGCTGCTCCCTGTGGTCATGGGATGGCTGCCGCAGCTACTGGCCTGACAGCCACATTCAACAGGGTAAGCATGAGACAGAGACTGCCACATCTGCTCCTGTTATGTGGAAAAGTTTTCCCAGGGCTCCAGCCAACTTCTCCTATGTCTCATTGATATCCCACAACAGAGGCTGAGAAAGCATGCAGGCAGCCCTTCCAGCCTCTGAGGCTGTGGCAGATGGCATTTCCCAAAGACGCCCACACTAACAGATCTCACTCCACACGCTCTTCTTCAATTGTGACACTGAAACCTCCCTCTTGAGAGGTGGGATCTAAGTTCTTTCCTCTTGAATCTGGTGGGCTTCTGACTACAATGGAGGAGATGTTGTGTGACTTTCAGGGTGACGTAGAAGAGGTGGTGCTCCTTCCTCCCATATTTCTCTCCCCCCGGACATATGCCTTTGGAGCCGGGGATGCGGAAGAGGCCACGTGGATCGGCCACAAAGAGAGAGGCAGAGGTGCTCAGCAGGAGGCTTTGTCCAGTGTAGGCACCAGACATGGGACGAAGAGCCTTCCACATGCCCAGCAACACCCACCCACCATTCGACTGTGGCCTCATGACAGATGCTAAGCCAGAAGTGCCCAGTAGGATGCTCCCAAGTTCCTGATCCAGAACCCATGAGAGAGAAATGGTTACCGCTTTTTTAAGTAACTGAGTCTGGAGTGACGTGCTATCCAATAGACAACTGCAACATGAGTGGAGGCAGGTGAGAGGAGGTGCAGGGAAAAGGGGGCTGGGTCAGCAGGTGACAGCCACTAATGCTCTGCTCCTCCAGCTGCTGTCCTCACTTCCCCCATCGTCCACAGTTTCCGGCCTTCATGCCCCTGCTCTTCCCTGACCTGAAATCCCAGCCCTAGCTAGCAAAGCAGAGCCATCCCGCAGGTCGTAAGCCTGTCTCCTCACTTCCATCAAGCCACAATGATCTCCCTTGTTCCTGCCCATGACAAAATATTTTTAAGTTTAATTACTTTCAGTCACACTATTCTTTGCCCCCACTACTCTGGCTTCTTAAATCTAGCCTGGGTTCTTGTTCATGGGGATCCCTACATATTTCTGTATTATATATATTAGTTTACTCCAAACACCATCCAAGGTCAGGAGTAGCTGTTTAATAAGCACTTGCTAATGAAACTAAGCAGCGTGCATTTTACCCTACAGTGTTTCTTACAAACTCCTTCTCAAGATAAAGCTAGCCTTCTTCTTACCACTCAGTGATGGTCTGTGTCTTTTCCTCCTTCAAAACTCAGATCAAATGTAACTTTCCCTGTACACTTTTCCCTGATTAACTTCTTCCATCCCCAGAGGAAACACCTCTCACTCCTGTTCTTCTGCACCTTGCACACCCTTCTCATCCTCCTCACCTGTCTGGTTACACTGGAACTGTGTGTCCTGTCTCCTCACCAAACCACTCCATCACTGAGGGAAAGACCACCTCTCATTTATCGTTTTATTCACAGTGGCAAATGTTAATATGCAGGAGAAACTCAACAAGTGGTTGATGAATGGACAAAAAAGGAACACGCTGAATTGCCAACAAAAAAGAACATACTAAATTAAAAATTCCAACTTCATTACTTAACTTCTTTTTTGTTTCTGAGATGGAGTCTCACTCTGTCTGCCCAGGCTGGAGTGCCATGGTGCGATCTCGGTTCACTGCAACCTCTGCCTCTTGGGTTCAAGCAATTCTCCTGTCTCAGCCTCCCGAGTAGCTGGGACTACAGGCACCCACCACCACGTCTGGCTAATTTTTGTATTTTTAGTAGAGACAGAGTTGCTGCATGTTGGCCAGGCTGATCTCAAACTCCTGACCTCAAGTGACCCGCCCGCCTCGGCCTCCCAAAGTGCTGGGATTACAGGTGTGAGCCACCATGCCCAGCCTTAACTTCTTTAACACTTGGCTTAGGTAAGCATAGCAAGTCCACAATGTTAAAGAAAAAATAACACCTTGATAACTATGAAAATAAATTTTTAAATGTCCTTAATAAGCTACTTTGGAAAAATGTTACATTTCAAACCTGTTTTAAAACAAAAATATGAGTCCCAGGAGGTACCATTCATGAGTAAATTCACGGCTGAAAAGCTGAAACCAGGAACTCTTCTCTAATGGCAGCTGGTGCTAGTATGGTATTTCCTATGTTCATTGTTACTGCTATTGGAAAAGGATACTGCTATTGGAAAAGGATACTGCTCTTATAAACAGCTTTGTCCACTTCTAAGACTTTAAGAAGTAAAACAGTGAGTTTTTGAAATTACATGGGAAAAAAGGAATAAGCTGTGTTGCCTAAGTCAGTAGCAGGCTAGAAGCAAAACCCCTGCACTCTTCTATTCCTGTGACAAGTCTCCTCCCTGATCCGGCAGAGCGCCCATGAGAGAATACAAAAGAAGACTAAAGAAGTAGCTTCTCAGAGTTTCAAACTCTTCCCCAATTTCTTCCCATTTTGGAAAACCAATAAAGCCCAGAAAATACCACCCATATTTGCAATATATCCACACTACCAATTCCTGGAAAATGTCTGCTATTTACTTCTTGTTTTTTTTTTTTTTTTTCTTTAAAGACAAGGTCTCACTCTGTCATTCGGGCTGGAATGCGGTGGCGCAATCATAGTGCACTGCAGGCTTGAACTCCTGGCCTCAAGCAATCCTCCTGTCTCAGCCTCCCACGTAGCTGGGGCTATAGGGGCACTACTGTGCTTGGCTGCTGTTTACTTCTGATGAATATCTGCATCTGAGCAGGACTTTGCATCATTATGTTATTAATAGTATCCTAACGGCACTATTAAAATAAGTCAAGATACAGTCTGTGTAATCAAGATTTCCAACTAGCAGGACATGTCAACATAGAGATTCATAGTTTCCTAGTTTGAAGCTAAGAAAATTAAGCCTTTCTCACACTCATCTCAAGACAACTGCACACCCTATTCTCATTAGTAAGGTCTCCTGTCTCCCCGCCCATATGAAACCTACCGAGTTTTCAAGGACCCAGTTTGTCCTAAATCCATGTCTTCAACCACCAGAACACAGCAAGGACTCAATAAACATTTGCTGAATATATTAACATGGAAAGAATGCTACAAACACACTATATGACAAGGTAGTTGATGAATGAGTATTATAAATAAGTTCTGGGGAAAAATCTTTGTGGACTCAGGAGAACAAAGGCAGCTTCTTGGAGGAGTTAGCCTTTCAGATACCTAAGGTCACCATAACCTGTTTAATCCAAATGTCTTCTCCTTGAAAAGTATTAATTTCATTAAGACAGTATTACCACGTGGAGATAAACTCCATAGTTTGTAAGTGGAACTGAACAAATTGTTTTTCAATTCTGGTCCAAGTGCAAAGCCATCCACGATGACGACGATGACTGATTCGACTGCCACACTCTAACTGTTCACTCAGTCTCCTTGGCAGCAGTCACGTTGGCTTCTTCAAGCGGTGGCTTGTCAAAGGAATGCTCCAGAAGGAGACAGGACAAGAGGTGGTGAACAGCGCCAGCTCCTCCACTTTCCAAGTGCAGTGGGAGCAAGTCACTTAACCCCTGCCTCTGCTTCCTGATGAAGTCCCTGCCTTGGAGGGTTGACTGAACAGGTTAATGCAGGTAAAGTGCCTAGAACGTAGCCATGTAAGAGCTACATGGGCATAAGCTATTATTGTTGTTGTTGAAACTCCTATTAGCATCATTAGTAGACTACATTTTCACTGATGTTTAAGAACCTTCTCTCCAAGAACCTGACTTAGCCTTTATTTACAGTTCAACTCCCATCCCACTCTACTCATGACCTACTTTAATCTTCAAGTTTTCTGTCTGAGCAGTGTTAAGTTGGTGAGACCTTGTTTGATATTAGTAGCACATGCTGATACACAATGCTAAAAGTTTCCATTACTGTTGCATAAAAACAAGCTAAATATCAACTCGATTTCCTAGTTCTTTATATGCCTAACGTTTGCTAATTTGCTATAGTGTGTGCTATTTTTTCAGAATATGAAAGTAATGAAGCAACAAAAACAAAACCATATATTGCAGATTACACTTCCTGGTAATAAAAGATGACACTTTAGAAATATGGTGGAGCTGGGATGAGATCATCATATGAAAGTCCTGAGGGGAAGAGTCAAGGTGATTGCCAATGGGGGCCATGAGCTCCAGTGCATTAGAAACATTATTACTTTAAAGATAGGTTAGCCAGAGTATATAAAATGCTTGGCATTTCAGAGTTCACTTCTATTATTAAGAACAATGATTCTCAACCATTACTGAAACACTCCGGGGCCTTTCCAATTATCTCACACTACTCAAATTCTTAAAATAGAAATTGATATTTAATTCAATTTAATCTTTAAAAAATATGCCACACTGCACTTTTAGGAAAGCACTGACATGTCACAAAATCAACAATGATATTTCTGCTATTACATAACTCAGTAAGTCTTGTGGTTCAATGTTAAATGCTTTACTTAAAAAAAAAATCCATTTCCATCTCTCTAGTTGCTTTTCTGATTTTCTGCCTTGGAGGATCTGGAGAAGAAGGAAGGTAGTTAAAATCATCATGCAGTCATAGACTGTCCTCTTCAGAGAGCCTGATCAGTCCTTTCCTGTTTTGCTATTGTTGAATTCCTACTGTTTTTGTTTTTTTTGAAGTCACCCAAATAGCTTTTTCTTTAAAAAAAAAAAAAAAAGCAGATAGAATGGAATTGTATTAAAAAAAAAAAAAAAAAAACTAGAAAATGGCTTGGCATGGTGGCTTATGCCTGTAATCCCAGCACTTTGAGAGGCCGAGGTGGGCAGATCGCTTGAGCCTAGGAGTTTGAGACCAGCCTGGGCGACATGGAGAAACCCCATCTCTATAGAAAATACAAAAATTAGCCAGGCATGGTGGCATGTGCCTGTAGTGCCAGCTACTCAGGTGGCTGAGGTGGGAGGATCACCTGAACCCTGGAGGTTGAGGCTGCAGTGAGCTGAAATCGTGCCACTGCACTCCAGTCTGGCTGACAGAAAGAGACCTTGTCTCAAACATACAAACATAAACTAGAAAACAACAGGGGATTCAAATCTATTCTCAAATGAATACTTTCAAATGGCCTCTACTCTGAACCTATGCAGATCTAGTGCTTCTTGGCTGTAAAATACCAAAAAAGACTTATTTTGACTTATTTTATCTTAAAGTATTTGGCCTTACTTCTACCACTTTAAGGAACAAAAGACGCTGTTATAATCTCTCTTGTCAGCCTCCACTTCACTTTAGAATAAGTTATTAGTGAAATGTGAGGTGGACTTCTCACCAAATTTTCTAAAAATGACCACTGAGTGCTTTCCATACGACAGGCAGTGCACTTCATAAACACGTCATTTAATGATCAAATAATACTAATATTTAACTGATATCACCCTGTATCAGTTGGGATTTTGATTTCTAACACATATGACAGAAACTAGAGCCAAAAAGTGAACTGGCTCCTGAAGTAGGGAGGCTAATCATCTCCAGGGGCCGAATGAGCTTCAGCTGTGGCTCAAGCCAGCCCAGCCAGTGTCACTAGGGCCCCATCTCACTCCATGCTCCCAGTTCTCCTCCGTGTGGGCTTTGTCTCCAGTTTCTACTGTTAGAATTGTGGAAGAATGTTACTCAAACCTCTCACTCTCCTCTCATTTAAGTCTAGTGGGAAAGAACGATATTTTTTTCCTCATGTGCTATCTAAAGTGTCTCTGTATCTCACTGTTCTGAGAAGGTCATGATCCCACTCCATGATTCCATTTTGCTGTTTCCAGGAAAAAGTAAAGCTTAGGCGAGGTCATCAGCCATCCACAGCTGAACTGGACCTCTGGCAGGAGCCTGTAAGGGAGCTAGAACTGGCACGAGGGGTCAGTGGATGCAGGATGCAGGAGTGCAGTGGCACGATTTCAGCTCACTTGCAGGATGTCAAAAACAGTGGATGTCTACCACATTTGCCCTGTTTTCTAGAAGAGAAAATGGAGAAACAGAGACTTCAAATAAACTGCCTAATGTCAGAGCTACTATCTGACTCCACCCACATTTTGTCACCTCTGCACAATTTGCCCCAACAATCTAGTGAGGGTACCCCTGCTTAAACTTGGGTATCTGGGTTTTCTGTCCTAATATACCACTTTGAATCAATTCTCTGATGAACAGTTTCAAGATTATCTTCCATATGCAGTTCATAATAATGTTCCCTAATAATACCTCTCAAGTAAAAGAAACAAGAAATACAAACAGATTTCATTATGTTTGAATAAGTCCACTCTGAAGACTTATGTAATTTGGGTATTTTTATTATTTATTATTTTTGCTTTTTGAGACAGAGGCTTGCTCTGTCATTCAGGCTGGAGTGCAGTGCCACAATCTTTTTTTTTTTTTTTTTTTTTTTTTTGAGATGGAGTTTTGTTCTTGTTGTCCAGGCTGGAGTGCAATGGCACGATCTTGGCTCACTGCAGCCTCTGTTTCCTGGGTTCAAGTGATTCTCCTGCCTCGGCCTCCTGAGTAGCTGGGATTACAGGTGCCTGCCACCACACCCGTCTAATTTTTGTATTTTTAGTAGAGATGGGGTTTCGCCATGTTGGCCAGGCTGGTCTCGAACTCCTGACCTCAGGTGATCCGCCCGCCTCAGCCTCCCAAAGTGCTGGGATTACAGGCGTGAGCCACCATGCCGGGCCAGTGGCATGACCTTGACTCACTGCAGCCTCGACCTCCAGGGCTCAAGTGATCTTCCTGTGTCAGCCTCCCAAGTAGCCAGGACCACTGGCATGCGCCACGATGCCCAGCTATGCCCAGCTAGTTTTTGTATTTTTTATAGAGATGGGGTTTCTCCATGCTGCCCTAGTTTGAGACCATGGCTGGTCTCAAACTCCTGGGGCTCAAGCTATCTGCCTGCCTCGGCCTCCTGAAGTGCTGGAATTATAGGCTTGAGCCACTGCAACCAGACTGTTATTTATTTTTTGAATGTGCATCTCATGTACATGGTACAAAAGTCAAAGATGGAAAAGGGATGCAGAGAAAGCAAATCTCCCTCCCCCTCTGTCTGCTTGCCACCTAGTTCTCTTCCCAGAGGCAACCACTATTACCAGTTTCTTGCATATCCTTCCAGAGATATTCCATGCATGTAGAAGCAAACACGTATAGATTTTCTAAAACCAAATGATAGCATTGTCTGTTCTGTACCTTGCTTTTAAAAACACACCACTTCAGCTCCCGCCTTTGAAAATCTCATGTGAAAATGTCCCAGTGCAAAATATAACAAGGTTTTCCACCCAAATGAATGCTCTGCGTCTCAGGATCCCATTTCTGCCTCATTGTGAATCAGAGGCTAACTTAAAGCCTCCTTTTATTTTGAGACCAGGTCTCACTCTGTTGCCCAAGGATGAAGTGCAGTGACATAATCAAGGCTCACTTCAGCCGTGATGTCCCTGGCTTAAGTGATGATCTCACCTCAATCTTCCAAGTAGCTGGCACTACAGGCATGCCACCATATCCAGCTATTATTTTATTTTTTAATTTTTTGTAGAGACAGGGTCTCACTATGTTGCCTAGTCTGGTCTCAAACTCCTAGGCTCAAGCGATCCTCCCAGTCTGGCCTCCCAAAGTTCTGGAATTTCTAGGTGTGAGCCACTGAGCCCAGTCACTCAAAGCAGCTTGATACTCAATTTTCCTCCCTTGTAAAATGACATTCCCTGTAAGACATTATAACAAAATAAAAGCTGCATAAAATAAAGGCTCTTTTGAAGTTATAATCATGACCTTTGCATGAAAATCTATTTGTATTTTTTAAATGAATTCTAATAAGATATAAATAGAGACACTTCTTGAAATTTGGCACATTTCTGTGGCACTATAAAATAAAATAACTCCAACAAACACCTTCAAGACAGGTTAAACTACATCATAGCACATTTTTCTGTGAGGTTATGGCTGCACAGAGACCTAGACTACATGATAAAATAATCTATTAAATACTATGCAATTACTACAAAGATTAAAAATGTTAAATTTCTTGCTTGTCCCACCATAGGCAACAACTGTATGTAATTTTTATGTATTTAAAAAAGAAAAAGAGAGTATGTGTGTATATTTTAATGAAAATGGTACTGACATACATTCCATCCCCAGGCTGTATACCCTGAAATTGCTTTCATAACTGGGATGGATCTGTGAGGATCCATTCCTCTTTTAAGACGAAGGCTCTGTGTGCAGAAAACTGAAAGAAATGAACCAGTCAATCCAGGGGCTGAAGCTCCAACAGAGGGGTTTAACCAACTGAGTTAACTACCCCAGTTCACAAATGCCGTGAAACACTACTAGAGATAGATTCCTGATATGCTTTATAAGACAAATGGCCTGTCACATGCTGTTCAAAAGGGCTAAGAACATTTTGCTGAATCAAGAAGTTAAACTACCCAGCTACTTGGGAGGCTGAGGCATGAGAATCGCTGGAACCTTGGAGGTGGAGGCTGTAGTGAGCCAAAATCACGCCACTGCACTCCAGCCTGGGTGACAGCGAGACTCTGTCTCAAATAAATAAATAAATGAAGTTAAAATGAAGAAAACAACTCAATTCCGATACAAATCATTTTACCATTAATGATAATTTTTTATGCAAAAATTCAAATCATACTTTTAGATAATTACTCTTCAGATAATGATAATCTTTTACAGACAAACCAATCAAGAGGAATCACAGAAAGAAAATTTACGGAAAGCTCAAATGTCCACGTACAACTCAATCTGTCAGATTCAGGAAGCTCCTTTTTTTTTTTTTTTTTTTTTTGGAGACAGGGTCACCCAGGCTGGAGTGACTCACTGCAGCCTCGATCTATGGGCTTGGGTGATCCTCATACCTCGCCTCCCGAGTAGCTGGGAGGGACTACAGGCACATCCCACCACGCCCAGATTTGATTTTTTTTTTTTTTTGTATTATTTGTAGAGACAGGGTTTCACCATGTTGCCCAGGCTGGTCTCAAACTCCTGCAGTTCCTGAAGTGGGATATTTGGATGGAAAACCCAGAACTTCAGTGATCTTCCCACCTCAACCTCCCAAAGTGCTGGGATTGTAGGTGTGAGCCACCGCACCGGCCTTACAATTCTTTCTTCTACTTAGAAAGTTCACAATAAAAGAATCTTTGAGAACCACCTGACGGAATCAAATTCATTCTTCCTCAGAATTTCTACTTGCCAAATTTAATGTACTAGCTGTAAAAGTTTTAAATTCATACATCTTTAAAAAAATTAACCATGAATTATTTTTATTAAGGTGGAAGGGTTTTTGGTTTGTGTTCAGTCTTTTTGTAGGTCTATTTTTGAAAACAGATTCTGCACTTCCAGTTCTAAACAGATACCATATGGCTGCTTCTTTACTAAGTTATTTATTTTTCAAAAAATGCTAACTGCAGTTTTGGCAGTTCTTTATTAAACATCATTCGTAAAACACAAACAAACAAACAATTCCAGCAATCATCTATGAAGAGACTTTAGAAGCTTGTAAAAAAGTGAATTCTACCTCCTTCTGGCTGACGACTCCTCCTCCTACCCTCTTGAGTCCCCTCTGGGCCACATTAAAATAGCTTGCTGAACAATATGTTATAACTTCCTAAGAGAAAGTACAAATGAGTCCTCAGTGCCCAAGAAGCTGTTTCCGGGAGCATCCAGGTCTCTGAAGCCAGGTCAGAGGAAAGCAGGTGGGTACTGAGAAAGAAAAGAGGTGACAGTGGCCAACTCCATTCCCATGGATGTGGTCTTGGAGCCAACAGGACCCAAAGCGTTATTCAGATTTTTTTTTTTCAATCCAAAAGCAAAGTCCAGCTTAGAAAATAAGAATTGGGAAGGCAAATAAAACTGGAAAAGCTTCTGCAGAGGCCACAATACTTTGGACATCTTCTGCGATCAATAATTCATGAGACTGTTTGGCCCAGACGCATAAGGACAGGAAAGTGATTGGTCATAGGTAAATTCTCTTGCTGTGTATACGGCAACTTAGAATTTTTGGAGCTGGACGGGACCTTGAGATTATTTAGTAAAGACCAAGAAGCTAAGACAATTTCTGGGCAAAATGCCTTGTGAGTTCAGGTTTTACGTATCACTCACTATGGCAAATGGTAGCAATGATAGATGGGAGGATGGAAGGAAGCAAGGAAGGCAGGCATGTTTACCAACAGAACAAACAAGACACATGGTACAACAACAGAGCCTGGCGATAAGGCTGAGGCCACAGCTCTACTGTTCAGAAACAGGAAGAGGCCAAAGGCACACCCCAGTTAGGAAGGATGGGAGCAGAGGCAAATGGCTCCGAGTATGACGCAGCACGAAACCACTGTGGAAAGAAACTGAAAAGAGGTCTGTGGCCACTACCGGAGGCTATGGCTGAGATAAAGCCCATCCCTGGGGCAGCAGGAGGAAGCTCAAGAGCCTGCAGCCTTCGAAGGGAAAAGATTGGCCCTCTACTCACTACTGAGAAGGGCAGGAGCCTGAACTTCCAAAATAAGATCATGTACTAAACTAGGATCCTGGGGAGGACAATAGCAAAACCACTCCAGAAAGGTGAGGGCACAGAGGGGGACAAAGAAGTCCACTTAAGACAGGCTTCTAAACTAAAAGCCCAAAGCTTGTGAGGGAAACCAACTTCAAGAAAGACTGACGGCCAGGCGCGGTGGCCCATGCCTGTAATCCCAGCACTTTGGGAGGTCAAGGTGGGCAGATCACGACATCAGGAGATCGAGACCATCCTGGCTAACATGGTGAAACCCCGTTTCTACTAAAAATACAAAAAAATTAGCCGGGTGTGGTGGCAGGCACCTGTAGTCCCAGCTACTAGGGAGGCTGAGGCAGGAGAATGGCATGAACCTGGGAGGTGCAGCTTGCAGTGAGCCGAGATGGCGCCACTGCACTCCAGACTGGGCGACAGAGCGAGACTCCATCTCAAAAAAAAAAAAAAAAAAAAAGAAAGAAAAAGAAAAAAAAAAAAAGAAAAACGAACCAAAACTCAACCATCAAAACATAAATTTTCTCCTGACAAAATAAAAACATGGCAAATTGAAAACAACTTTAATATAAATGTGTTAAAACTTCCAGGCCGGGCGCGGTAGCTCATGCCTGTAATCCCAGCATTTTGGGAGGCCAAGGCGGGCGGATCACAAGGTCAGGAGATCGAGACCCTATTGGCTAACATGGTGAAACCCCCTCTCTACTAACAAAAAATTAGCTGGGCATGGTGGCGGGCACCTGTAGTCCCAGCTACTCAGGAGGCTGAGGCAGGAGAATGGCGTGAACCTGCGAGGCGGAGCTTGCAGTGAGCTGAGATCGCACCACTGCACTCCAGCCTGGGCAACAGAGCAAGACTCTGTCTCAAAAACAAAAAAAAAAGAAAAAAGAAAAAAGAAAAAAAGAAAAAAAAAACTTCCAAAGAGATACACAAGAAAAATAACCAGAAAAAAAAAAATTTTTAGAAACAAAATCAGGCAGTAGTTATGAAAACAAAAACCTATTCAAAATCCTGAAAATGAAATATATGGTCAGTAGATGGGGAGAAACAACACCAAGCACAGTAAACGAGAGAATTAGTAAATTAAATTCACTCTGTGTATAGAATAGAGATAAAACACTTCTCTCTATGAGAAGTGAAGTAACATAACAGGTAGAGTGAAAAGAAACACATCTAGTAGGATTTCCAGAAATAAAGCTAGAAGGAGTGGTGGGGAGGCAATACTAGAACTAACGCTAAAAATGTGCCATAATTGAAGACTTGAATCTCAATTCTGAAAGCTCGCAATGAGTGCCAAGCAGAGACTGGATAAAAACAAATCTAGGGGCTGGGCGCGGTGGCTCACGCCTGTAATCCCAGCACTTTGGGAGGCCGAGGCAGGTGGATCACAAGGTCAGGAGATCGAGACCATCCTGACTAACATGGTGAAACCCCATCTCTACTAAAAATACAAAAAATTAGCCAGGCGTGGTGGCGGGCGCCTGTAGTCCCACAACTCGGAAGGCTGAGTCAGGAGAATGGCGTCAACCTGGGAGGCAGAGCTTGCAGTGAGCCAAGATCACGCCACTGCACTCCAGCCTGGGTGACAGAATGAGACTCCGTCTTAAAAAACAAACAAACAAACAAAAAACAAATCTAGGTAGATTGCTGTGAGGCTGCAAAACATTAAGGATAAAGAGAAAACCTTGAAAACTAGCAGACTGAAAAAACAGTTAAAAGGGAATGATAATTAGACTGGCAGCAGACTTCTTAACAGTAACAATGAATAACAGAAGGCAATAACATCATATTTTCAAAGTTCTAAGACAAAACCAGCTAACCCAGAATTCCAAACCCAGGAAGAGTAAAGATGAAACAAAAGATATTTCTGAAATACAAAGACTAGGTTTACCTTCTATAGATAGTTACTCTAAGAACTACTAGAAAATACATGCTTCAATAAAAATAATAAAAACCCAAAGGGAAAGAAGGTGATACAGTAAGCTAAGACAGAATAAAGGACTTGTTTTAGGTTTCTTAATTCATGGCTGAGACCAAAGGAACCTTGGCATGTTGACTCCCAAGTTAGTACTCTTTCCTCTAAACTAACTCTCTGCATCTTCATCTTCATTTTCACACTTCCATATTTTAACTTCTAGTTAGATATAAAACTACACTTGACAGTTCCTAAATATTATACAATATTTTTCATAGCATTCAAATTATTTTTTTAAATTTAAAAACTTCCTTGAAGTGTGATTAGAATAAGGAAGAGATCCAAGAGAAGTCATTTTATTGACTGTACCTTTCTTTGGTCAAATTACCTGGCTCTCAGTGATACGTTCTATTTCCTCCATATTTAACACAAAATTGTGGGTTTTTTTAATTTATTTTGAAAGGTAAAGTGTTGATAAATAATTCATAATTGTCTTTGGTTTACATCTAAATAAAGAGAAATTCTGTGCATCTCTAAACAAAACTAAATTTTTCTTTTCATATGACATTATTTCACTATTTTAATATGTATTTATGAAAGTAAGATTTTGCAAATGGCAACTGTATGCATACACTTAATTAAAAGAAAAAAAAAACACGCGGCCTTGCGCGGTGGCTCACGCCTGTAATCCCAGCACTTTGGGAGGCCGGGGGGGTGGATCACCTGAGGTCAGGAGTTCAGGACCAGCCTGGCCAACAGGGCAAAACCCCATTTCTACTAAAAATACAAAAAAAATAGCCCGGCGTAGTGATGCGTGCCTGTAGTCCCAGCTACTCAGGAGGCTAAGGCAGGAGAATCACTTGAACCCAGGAGGCAGAGGTTGCAGTGAGCCAAGATCGTGCCACTGCACTCCAGCCTGGGCGACACAGTGAGACTCCGCCTCAAAAGAAAACAAACAAAAACAAAAAAAATGTGACTATCATACCTTCAACTTACATGGAAATAGGCAGCAAAATGACAGTTGAAAAAAATCTAGTTGGTACTCTAAGTGAATAAAAAAATAGATGCCTTAACCCTCAAAGATGTAACAGTGATTTATACACAAATGTTAGTTCCCTTGCTGCGATCTGTGATATGTTAACACATTCCCCAATAAAGTCATCTCAACCTCCACATCTGGATCCCAGAGCAATTATCTGCCTATTTTTAAGCATTGTAAATTATTGTAACACTGTACACACAGCCAGCAAGAGAAGGTTCTATAGTTTTTTATGTGATAGAACAGGGAATAAAGGAAGTATTAGCTCTAAACAGTGAATAGCTGGACAATACTCCCTGGCCCTAATACAAAGACTGTGACTTTTTTTTTTTTTTTTTTTTTTGAGATGGAGTCTCGCTCTGTCCCCCCAGGCTAGAGTGCAGACGCGCAATCTTGGCTCACTGCAAACTCCGCCTCCCGGGTTCAAGCGCTTCTCCTGCCTTAGCCTCCCGAGTAGCTGGGATTACAGGCACCTGCCACTGCACCCGGCTAATTTTTGTATTTTTTTAGTAGAGATGGGGTTTCACCAACTTGGCCAGGCTAGTCTCGAACTCCTGACCTCCTGACCTCCCAAAGTGCTGGGATTAAGGGCGTGAGCCACCGCACCCAGCCAAGACTGTGACTTTGCATGGAGTTTCAAGTCAGATTCACTAAACAACACTCTGTGTGCATGGGTTAAGTACAGATGGACACAATCTACAACCCCAGACACCAAAGACCTCAGAGAAGTATAAATATAATTATGAAAATCCCTCTGGCCGGGCACCATGGCTCACATCTGTAACCTCAACACTTTGGGAGTCCAATGCAGGAAGATCACTTGAGGCCAGGAGTTCCAGACCAGCCTGGACAATACAGCAAGACCCTGTCTCTATAAAAAATACCAAAATTAGCTGGGCATGGGAGCACACACCTGTAGTGCCGGCTACTTGAGAAGCTGAGGCGGGAGCATTGCTTGAGCCCAGGAGGTCAAGCTTACAGTGAACTATGACTGCATCACTGCACTCCAGCCTGGGCAACAGAGAGAGACCTCATCTGTTAAGAAAAAAAAAAAATCCTTCAATGTTGGCTAGTCAAACTTGGATGAACAAACAACAAGCGCAGTCTGTTATGCTGTCAGTAACTACAACAGTATCAGACTTCACTGGAAGAAGTTTGGTGTTTTCCATAAAGGATCATTTTGCAGGATATATTGGAAGATAGTCTGTGGTCAGAGTCAGTACAAATAACCCAGAGTGTGGGTTCATATCCCTGGGCAAGAGCTGATGCTACTCAGCAGTGTATTTTTAGACACAGGACAGTTATGCAACAGAGCTAGTTCAATGATGCTATGGGTACTTCTGTGTAGAATCCAATAAAAGTAATCGCAAAACAGTCTTTCAACTACTAGAAACATTTCTGAGGTTGAGGAGTTTGAACATTCTTGGGGCAAAATGAATAAGGCACCTAAAATTTTATGCTGATGATCAGAAAATGCTCTAAGCCATAAGGAGAAATAGATGTGGTAGGTAGACTCGTCTACAAATAAGCTAACCTCTAAAACCCAGAGGAAGTTGGTATAATTTAAACCAATATACACTCTTTATTAGAAGGAAAAAGAGCTAGTCAATATAGAAGTAAAAATAGACAGCCAGCTCCTCAGATGCCAAGAGATTTTCCTAACATGTTCTCTCTGGAAGGAAAACTAAGACTTTTACTTCTTACAGTTCTGTATAGTTCAGGTCTTTTACAATGAGAAAGTACATATATTAATTTTAAAAAGAAAATATGTGACTTGTATCTCAAAAATTGAAAAGTAATTAAAATGCTAAGTGATTTGAGAAATAAGCTATGAGCTAGGGATTCACTTTTGAGCCAATAAAATATAACACAAATCCACTAATTAAGAAAAACGTCATAAAAAGTCAGGCAATCTGGCACATTGGTTAAACGGGCTTTTGAGATTCTCTTTCAGGGACCCTAAAGCTCATCTCTCTCAATTATAAGGGACAACACATTGCTATTTTTAAACAGTGAAAACCATGCACTCAAAGTTTTTAAAAACTTGCTAAAAACTAGAATTGAATACTGCTCTATTAGAATAATCAGTGGGTCTGGAGGTACTGCTAACAGGAACAGCTAACAGCAATAGCTGCTCCTGATATCACTCTGCTCAAAACCCACCAGGGGTCCCAATCACAGGCAGAGGCTGAACCTGACAAGGACAGCTCAAAGGACTGGACAGATGGAAGTACACTGTTGCAAGCTTCCTGTATCACCACAGAAGCAATTCTACATCAACTTTAAGTATATTGTGATAAATCCAAGATGAATGTTACAATCTTTAGAGCAATCACTTTAAAAAAGAAATAAAACTAAAAACAGAAAGATACATGGAAAAAAATTGGTTAGCACTAAAGAAGGCAGGAAAGGAGGATCAGGAATAACAAAATAAGGAGATAAACAGAAAACAAATAGCAAAATTGGAGACCTAAGTTCAACTATATCAATAATTACATTAAAATGTAATTCTGCTAATGGTGGCATTTATGCTAATGGTGGCATAACTGTAGTAACAGGCTATTTTCTGATAGGCACATGCATTATACATGACAGAGCATGAACTGTACTTTTTGCTAGACCTCTTTATTGGGTAGGGTTTCACTTGCTCAGGGCTTCTTACTTGCATACAGCCTATTCCACCTGCTCAGAGCCTGTGGGATTATTCTTACCATCTTCCATGTCTTCCAACATTAAGTAAACATCTCAGCAACAATTACCTGCCAAATAAACATTAACAGATTTTTCTTCCCCTTTTACCTGACTGTCTGGTTTTTGCTACACTCATTTTTTAACGGAACCCAATTCTTCATAAATGCCACATTCTACTTGCTGCCATTGCCTTCCAACAATGGTCTTTCAATTCAATCTTCCAAATCACTTAGAAAAATAGTATCAACTTGAAGACTGATTCTTAAAGCATATGACATATAAGAATACAGCCTCTTGGGCAGACACTGACATGTGCACTCGAGGCTGCCAACCCAGAACAAGATGAGTTAAGGGTCTATCAGTTCCCGACCATTTCCATTTGAGGCCCTGGACCCTACCAAACCCTCCATGATGGACAGATACCAGGAATGCCCAAGAGTGCATCGTGCTACACCCGGAGTGACACTGTACAGGAGCCATACAGGAGCTATAAGAAGTGCTGCTTCTTGGCCAACAGGCACATTGTGCTGGCATGAAATCTGTTAATTTGTGTTATTTATAGTTACTCTAGCCTCACTTTTTTTTTTTCCTTGTTTGTTTGTTTGGTTTTTTTTTTTGGAGGCATAAAAGGGAAGGGGGGAAGGCTTCAACTGTCTTATTTTACCAACATCAGAAGACTTAACTCTGACCCTTAGCCCAGATGGGCCCTACATTCACCAAGTCCCCCAAGGCCAGAGTCAAGGGCAGATGCCCTTCAGAGTTACAAAGGATATGAATAAGTGAATGGGCAAGAGCAGAACAGACAGAAAGCCAGTCCACAGGGACAGGCCCACAGAAAAGTCTGTCAAAGAAGCCGTCTAAAATTCGTACCAAGGCCTATTCAACTGGGAAGAGAAGATAAATTCTGGGAGTTTTAAATTTTTTTAATTTACCAGCTTCAGTTGTGTGATGGTTAATATTCAATGTCAACTTGATTGGACTGAAGGATATAAACTATTGTTCCTGGGTGTGTCTGTGAGGGTGCTGCCAAAGGAGATTAACATTTGAGTCAGTGGACTCGGAGAGGCAGACCCACCCTCAATCCGGGTGGGCACCATCTAATCAACTGCCATCGTGACCAGAATAAAAAGCAGGCAGAAGAACGTGGAGAGATTAGACTGGCTTAGCCTCCAAGCCTCCATCTTTCTCCCGTGCTGGACGCTTCCTGCCCTCAAACATCATACTCCAAGTTCTTCAGCTTTGGGACTCAGACTGGCTTCCTTGCTCCTTAGCTTGCAGATGGCCTACTGTGAGACCCCACCTTGTGATCGTGTGAGTTAATACTCCTTAATAAACTCTCCTTTAACATACATCTGTCCTATTAATTCTGTCCCTCTAGAGTACCCTAATACAAGATGACATTAGTTTCCTTTGAGAATATAACCAGGAAGGTACACAGCAGTAATTGGCAAAGAACGATTTTTTTTTCCTTTCAAAAGGGGGTGTTTCTCCCAAATTCCATCAGTAGAGACCACTGTAAACGAAGTGGACACCCATTTCTTTTCTAGGTAAGAGGAAGAGGGGAGGGTGGCTGGCATAGAAAGTCACATAAACAACAAATTAGGGGCAGAATCTTCCTATGAAGGCTATCTTAATGTATTACACATTCCTCCTTATTCAATATAAAAGAACATGTAGTGAAGGGAAGCATGCATGTAATGTACATGGCTGACCACTGCCCAGGAGAAAGCTGAAACGGCTTAGATTGGCACATGCTGCCCGGTGTGGCCCAGCCTGTCTCTAATCTCAGCCCTCCAGCCCCACCCACCACCAGCTGCTGGTCTTCTCACACCCTCTACAAATACCCTGGGCAGACAGCACTTGTCTCCTGTTCTTTAGTCAGGAAACCTCGTTACCTATCAAGACTCAAATCAAATGTTACTGCTTTTGAAATGGGTTCTCTGATATCATCAAAACAAGCATTTTCTGCTAAGTTATCACACTAGAGTTTTCCATGATTTGTACATTACTGCCTTACAAGCATGTCTCTGGCCCTCAAGTAAGAGCTCTTTGAGTGCAGAACCGTTTCTCATATGTCTTTTTATACCAATGCTAAATAGATGTGGGATGTAACCAGCCTATAGAGGATACTTGTTTTACTGCAAGAACTAACAAATTCATTTATTATTAATATCTCTGTTATGCACAGTGACACTGAGAAATACTTCACCCTCAAGGGCTAACTGCCCCAAACAAGGCATAAATCCATATGAGTCGGTAAGTTTTCCCAAATGAAGCAATTCAATTAAATAAAGTGCTAAGTAAATATACCACAAGGACTGATGGGTTTGTTTAAATAAATAAAATACCTCAGTAGGGTGAGAATAGAGTATTCTGAGCATAATATCACCAAGTACACTTAAAATTTACACACAGAATCACTTTTCTCTAAGAATAGTTCACAGAGCTGTTTCATTATCTTAACAAAGTCTGTAAATCTCAGAGGTTCTCAGGTCCAAGGACTCTCTCCCTCCTTCCACTTGCACCCCTGCATGGTTTTGCAGAGAACATTCTGAGAAACCGATCTTGAGAAGCATGAAAAGTCCTGAAAGGTTGAAAGGTCTTCTCTGGATTAGTAACATTAAAAACAACTAATGTGTGTGCTGCTTTAAAATGTTCAGAGTCCCACTTCTGTTCTGAGTTAACCCACAGAGCACTCCTATGTGTCAGGGCAGACACAACCACAATCCTTTGCTCACAGAAGAGGACACTGGGTCCAGAAGAATGAGCGTCACACCCAACCTCACCTCCTTACTAAGTATGTAATGAAGACTCCAAGCCTGATGGATCTTCAGTCATCTATGCTTTCTCAATACGACACGTAACTAAGGTCCTAAATTTTACAAAGAAAAAAAATTAAGAGGTGAGAGGGCGAAGTCAGCAGCAAAGATGAAAGTGAAAATTCTCTGCCTGACAACAAACCAGAGTGACTGGAGAGGGCAAGCCTGGGCCAGCACTGGTGTAGGGACCTTGGGGCAATCCCTCAGGGAAGGCCAGGCCTCGGCATCAGAGGAACACTTCAAGTTTCAGGAGACGATTCCCTTTCTGGGTATAACATCAGAGCAAAGGTATAGCTTCACCAGCCAGTAAAAACAACAGCAGAAAGCACAGCTCTCTTCCTACTCATCTAATGGAATTGCTGGCCGCCGCAGGGCTGCTGGCTTACTATAGTCATTTTTATGTAGGATCTTAGACGTGCATCACAAGCCAATACTGACTCCTGGGAAAGAGAATCTTCTCAGGGTGGTCCTCCAACCAGAAGTGAACACTGACATTTCAAAATGACTGTTAGAAGATGGACCACAAACAAATGACTCTGCCTGCAGCTCACATTTAAACCTGACACAGGCCTCTGCCCAGGCCTGCTGGTAACACCAGTGGCAAATCCTGTCACGTTTCATTAAAAAATGCATGTTCTCCTCAGACAAGGCTCTCATTTCTAGACAAATAAAACCTTGACTCGAAGAGTCACAAAATCCACCACAAATACAACTCCTAGCAATAGCATATCCAGAGAGGGTGCTGCAGACGGGAGAAGCTAGGGGCCGTGCTGCCCACCCCATCTGGAGGACGCTCGGGCACTCCCTGGGGCCTGGGGGCTGTGGGCAGAGGTTGTATCCTGAAGCCTCCTAGTCAGCAGATTTAAGAAAATGTCAGCCACTATTATTCTGTGACAGAGATCTATTTTTTTGGAAATGGAAGTGCCTACCCCCATGTTGCTAGGCACAGCTGGGGAAAATTACCAGAAAACCACTGCGTGGTTTCTGACCTAACTCCTAACTCTCCTGGGCAACCCCTCTACTCACTCATGGTCAGTCCTCTTTCCCAGTTCCTAAGGAGTTACTTTACAGCTTCAGCTCCTCCTTACACCAGCCTCCAGGTCCCCTCTGTTTCATCACCTTGGCATCTACCTTACAGCACTGCCCTCTCCTTTTGTCCCATGCTCCTGAGCCCCTCCCCGTCAATTACCCTATCTACCATCTGGCTTTTTCTACCAGAGCCCCTCAATGTATAAAAGATGAAAGGATCCTGACGTTGTTAAGAATTGGACCCTGGATGCCCCAACCACCTAAGCCCCAACCACCTAACTGCCCATTTTTCTGGCCCCCTGCATAGCCAGAATTCCTGAAAGAATGCCAGTATCAGTCTTCCCTACCCTCTCTGGGCTCTCATGCTCAGTATCTGCAATCAACCACAATTTCACTGAAAAACAACGACCTCCAAACTGCTGAATCCAATAGTCCTGATCTTGACATCTTTGCAGTGAGGGAAACTTCTGCACCCTTCCATTTGTGAAATTCTCTTCCCTGGATTCATGTCACTGTCCTCTGGTCAGCTCTAACCACTCCTGTTGTCCTCAAAGGCTCTTATTTCCCTCCCTTCCCCTTAAAGCTTGGGACCCCCTAGGCCACTTTCTTTGGTCCTTTTTTTATCCTCAATATGTGGCTTGGATGATTTCATCCATTCCTGGAATTTCAGCCACGATTTAAACACCACTAACTCACAAATGTTTACTTCTCTCTGGCCCAGACCTAAATTGAATTTTAAAAATTAACTTTATTGAAGTATAATGTAAACAAATAAGATGCAAACATTAAAGTGGACCTTTCAACGAATTTTGACACATTTATACATCCATGTAACTACCACCACAATCAAGATTTCTCACCCCAAAAATCTTCTTGTACCTCTACCACTCAGTGGCCCCAGGCAATCACTGGTCAGTCTTCTGTCTTTTCTAGAGTTTCATATAAATGAAATAATGTACTATGTGTGGTCACCCATGTCCAGCTTCTTTCACTCAGTATAATGTTCTTGAGATTAATCCATGTTGTTGCATGTATAAATTTGAACTTGAATTTTTAACAGATTTCTCGTTTGTATTGTTCATATGGGTCAATGGCATCCACTCATAAGTTGAGAGTCATTCTGGGCTGTAACCTTCTTACTTGCCACCTACACCAAACCTGTCCATGATCCCACTAATTTTACTCCCTACATATCTTTCAAATTTAACCTCTCCATTCCCATTTCCTGAGCCCACCCTTTTTGCCTAGATTCTTGCAAAAGCCTTTTAACCAAAGTCCCAGCTCCCAGTCCCTCCTCCCCTCCTATTCAGAACCTACACTACACATGAACAGAGCTTTTGTAAATGCAGATAAAACAGGATATCCTTTCCTTGGTACTCAGGGCTCCATCCACTCTTCCAGCTTCCTTGTCTACTACCTGGACTCTTGGACAAACCACTCTCCTCATAAATTTTCATTTACCCTTCAAAACTCTGCTTATAGGCCAGTCACAGTGGCTCATGTCTATAATCCCAGCACTTTGGGAGGCCAAGGCAGGAGGATCACTTAAGGCTAGGAGTTCAAGACCAGCTTGGGTAATAGAACAAGACCCCCACCTCTACAAAATAATTATTTTAATTACCTGGGCATGGGACAGTAGCTGGGACACATTCCTGTAGTCCCAGCTACTCAGGAAGCTGAGGCGGGATGATTGCTTGGGCCCAGGAGTTCTAGGTTACAGTGAGCTATAACTGTGCCACTGTACTCCAGTCTAGGTGACAGAGCAAGACTTTGTCTCAAAAACAACAACAACAAAAACCAACAAAAAACTTCTGCTTATAATTCAGCTGGTCTGAATCATCCCCTGAAGAACTTCCTCAGAATTTCTCACACCACGTACACAACTGTACCCAACTATTATTTTCCTGTATGGCAATTATTTATACTTGACAATGAGCAAATGAGCATCTTGAGGGCTTTCTGGTTTTTTTTTTTTTTTTGAGATGGGGTCTTGCTCTGTCACCTAGACTGGAGTACAGTGGCGCAGTTATAGCTCACTGTAACCTAGAACTCCTGGGCCCAAGCAATCATCCCGCCTCAGCTTCCTGAGCAGCCAGGACTATAGGTGTGCACCACTGTACCCAGCCAATGTTGTTTTTTAGAGATGGGGTCTTGCTACGTTGCCCAGACTAGACTCAAATCCCTGACCTTAAGTGATCCTCCCGCCTTGGCCTCCTAAAGTGCTGGGACTACAGGCATGAGCCACCATGCCCAGCCAAGGGCAAACATTTTATTCTTTATTCACATCTGTCAGCAAGCCATCTCAATACATTTTTTTCCCTAAAGCAATGAAACAAGAAAAAGCTGATACCGTGTTAAGTATGCCTATTACAAATATTCCACATCTACAAGAAGACAGATGTTTGCATTTGTTCTTGGTGACACCAGTCGACAAATGTGGTAACATAATGGAAAATGCCAGCCTGTGAGTACGACAGAATGTATGCCCCATGGCTTCACTTGTTCGGTAATGACATCATGTAGCTGGATGCTCTCCAAATGCCTTAGAGATCAACTTAAAAAAACATAAAACACATAAAGGCTATTCATATATTAGCTTCTATCCTTATTAGTTCACTCCTTTGTTTTTCCGTCAACCAAAATTATTAAATACCTTCCTCCAAGGAGAAGTACAAATACTAGGGAAAATAAAGACACAATCCTCTAGTAAAATTCCCTAAGGTTACCAGTGGTCACACAATTACTCTGAAGATTCCTTCCAAAGGCACTCCTCAGGAAACGGTGCCAGCTAAGAATCCTGATGGGCCTTCAGGTGAGGACACATGCTAGATGAGAACATCTCCTGTGTCAACAAAATTGCTCCCCGAAGACTCTGGGGCCGATGACCACAGCAACCACTGCAGCTGATTCAGAGAAGATGCTGTTCTCAGACATTTCTCAACAAGCGCCCACATAAAATAAAACCCCTTTAGGGAATGCCCAGGTACTTCTACCTTCCATCAATAAAATCTAAGTCTATTTAAAATATTTTTATTGTTAGAGAATTCACTTTGTTTTAATCTCCAGAAACAATTTCAGTGCTTGCAAGGACTTTAAGAATGATCTATTCACAGAGATTTAAAGATAGAAGATAAAAGTGCATTTGAACATATTAACAAACAAGCAATGCAGTATTTTCAGACTCTGTATCTGTTTCTCCACAAATAGCACTCAATAAAGTGACACCTGAACGAATTAAAGAAGCTGTAAACTTGTAGACTGAAAATAGAAAAGGTATTTTCAGGTAGTGCAGAAAAAAGAACACACTGAGAATTTTACTAGGTACACCACCCTCAATTTACAAAGAGTACCGTAATAAATAAATTTAAATATATATAAATGTGTATTGTCCTTGGTTTCAAAATTTCAAAAAATTATACATAGCTACAGGATCTGAAAATAAAATTGCAAAGCAATCACATTTGCAAAACACCAATTTGGGAGAATTAACTTTAAGTAGGATATAAGCAATCTATTTAAAGAAAATTTTAAAACCCTAATGGGAATAAAGAAAGACAAGTGGAGAGATATATGAGGATTCTATCTGGAATACTAAATACAGCAACAGAGACATCTGCCCAATTCATATGTAGGTTTGAAGCATTATCAAAAACTCTGTGGAAAGAGCCACATAGAGGCAGGGACTGGGAGACACAGCACAAATTACTGAAGCCAGGAGGCCTGGGAGGTCGATGGGGACAGCCATGCTACATAGCAATATCAATCCTAAGGAAGGTTTCTAGCTGGTTCACCCTTATTTGGGGCCTGAAAACTTTTTTCATCAGCTGGAGCCTGCTCTCTGCAGGCTTGCCTACTTCGAATAAAAAATGATTGTAAAATTTATCAGAAAAATTAAGTAGACACAAATACGAAAGAATATTTTGAGAGCAAAAACTCATACACTTTTCCTTTATTACTTAAATCATAATAACATCTTAAAATAAATAGATGTATGTATTTAACTATAAAACAAAGCCAAATGTGATTATTAGAGATACAGAGGGTGTGATTAAAGGAGAAAGGTTTTTTCCAATATTTAAATAAAAAACAATGTTTTAATGGATGGGGAGAACACGCCAAATCCAACATTAAAAAATTTACTATCCTCCCAAAAGTTAAAGAACCAGTATCGGGGCCAGGCACGGTGGCTCACGCCTGTAATCCCAGCACTTTGGGAGGCCAAGACGGGTGGATCACAAGGTCAAGAGATCAAGACCATCCTGGCCAACATGGTGAAACCCCAGCTCTACTAAAAATACAAAAATTAGCCAGGCGTGGTGGTGGGCACCTGTAATCCCAGGTACTCGGGAGGCTGACGCAGGAGAATCACTTGAACCCGGGAGGTGGAGTTTGCAGTGAGCCGAGATCGTGCCACTGCACTCCAGCCTGGTGACGGAGTAAGACTCCGTCTCAAAAAAAGAACCAGTGTCAGTCCATATCATGACAAATGGATAATATTTAAAATTTCATCTAATGAATAAATGAAAAAGTAGAAACTAAAACTTGATAAACCACTTTATATCCTTTAATTAACAACAAATTAAGACTTCATAAGATCTAGAAATTTTAGACTCCAGAAGTCTCTTCTTAAAAAACCTGGTCCTCATGATTTTGCCAGTCTTTCCAATGGATATCTGGAAATATACAAGAAAAATTTTAAACTATTCAAGTTTTTAATCCTATTCATTCCACTTTTGAGACTGCAGCCCCAAAAGAATTTGTACAGACTAACACAGTATTTATTCTAAGGAAAATATAAATATATTTTTAAATGCCCCAATAAGTAATTATTTAAACAAATAATGGGGCTGGGTGTGGTAGCTCACGCCTGTAATCCCAGCACTTTGGGAGGCCAAGGCAGACGCATCATCTGAGGTCAGGGGCTCAAGACCAGCCTGGCCAACATGGTGAAACCCTGTCTCTACTAAAAATACAAAAATTAGCTGGGTGGGGTGGCACATGCCTATAATCCCAGCTACTCGGGAGGCTGAGGCAGGAGAATCGCTTGAACCCAGGATGTGGTGGAGGCTGCAGTGAGCTGAGATGGCGCCACTGCACTCCAACCTGGGCAACAGAGTGAGACTCTGTCTCAAAAAAAAAAAAAAAAAAAAAAAAAAAAAGTTTAACAACACAAAAAGATGCTACTTAATTATTACACATCACAAATTCATCAGCTTTGTCAATATAGACAATCCCTGAGTTACATAAGGTGTCTAAGTTTGTAAAGTCCACAAATACAGTTATAAAAGGGAGCAAATCCACTACGTTTTTCCCAGGAAATGCCACCAGTGCTTTTTCATATCTTAAGAACACAGTATGTATAACTATCACTTGTAAACAGGCAATACAATTTTAATTTAACAACAAGCCTTATTCAACTTTTGATTAATTTGCAAAAACGGGTTGCTGAAGCCTCTCTATTCAGAAGCTAACACTCTCACCAAGTCTTGCACAGCCTCAGCCTCATAAGAAGACTTCACAGAGAACTGAGGCACAAAAATATATAGTGCAAGGCTAAGAAATGCTCATCTCAGCTACACAGGCTGAGCCACAAGGCAGTTCTGCACTAAAAGAATGGGCTTAATCAAGCATTCATACCTAACATCACTCTAGTTTTTCATCAAGGTGCCTACATAAGTGTTAGTATTCGGGGTTCAGTACTGTATAACTCAGGACCATCCATATAAAAATGCAATGCAAAGTATCCAGGGACAAGTTCGCACCCATTTGAACTCTGTGAAAGCATACACAGCCACTGATAAAGACCAAAACAGGGCCAGGCGTGGTAGCTCATGCCTGTAATACTAGCACTTTGGGAGGCCGAGGCAGGTGAACTGCCTGAGGTCAGGAGTTCAAGACCAGCCTGGCCAACATGGTGAAACCCTATCTCTACTAAAAATACAAAAGTTAGCCAGCAGTGGTGGCAGTAATCCCAGCCACCAAGGAGTCTGAGGCAAGAGAATCGCTGGAAACCGGGAGGCGGAGGCTGCAGTGAGCCGAGATTGCACCACTTCACTCCAGCCTGGGCAACAGAGCAAGACTCTTCTTTAAAAAAAAAAAAAAGCTCTCCCCTCTCCCATCTCCCCTCTCCCCTCTTCCTTTCTTTCTACGGTCTCCCTCTCTTGCCAAGCCTGGATTGTACTGCCATGATCTCAGCTCGCTGCAACCTCCCTGCCTCGGGCTCCCGTGATTCTCCTGCCTCGGCCTGCCGAGTGCCTGGGATTCCAGGCACATGCCACCATTCCTGACTGGTTTTTGTATTTTTGGTGGAGACGGGGTTTTGCCGTGTTGACCGGGCTGGTCTCCAGCTCCTGGCCTCGGGTGATCTGCCTGCCTCGGCCTCCCGAGGTGCTGGGATTGCAGACAGAGTCTCACTCACTCAGTGCTCAATGTTGCCCAGGCTGGAGTGCAGTGGCGTGATCTCGGCTTGCTACAACCTCCCCCTCCCAGCCGCCTGCCTTGGCCTCCCAAAGTGCTAAGATTACAGCCTCTGCCCGCCCGCCACCCCATCTAGGAAGTGAGCAGCGTCTCTGCCTGGCCGCCCATCGTCTGGGATGTGAGGAGCCCCTCTGCCCGGCCGCCCCGTCTGGGAAGTGAAGAGCACCTCTGCCTGGCCCCCACCCTGTCTAGGAAGTGAGGAGAGCCTCTGCCCGGCCGCCCCGTCTGGGAGGAAGTGAGGAGCGCCTCTGCTCGGTTGCCCCGAATGGGAAGTGAGGAGCGCCTCTGCCCGGCTGCCCCGTCTGGGAAGTGGAGTGCCTCTGCCCGGCTGCCCCGTCTGGGAGGAAGTGAGGAGCGCCTCTGCCCGGCTGCCCCGCCTGGGAAGTGAGGAGCGCCTCTGCCCGGCCGCCCCGTTTGGGAGGTGAGGAGTGCCTCTGCCCGGCCGCCACACCGTCTGGGAAGTGGGGAGTGCCTCTGCCCGGCCGCCCCACCTAGGAGGTGAGGAGCGTCTCTGCCCGGCCGCCCCGTCTGGGAGGTGAGGAGCGCCTCTGCCCGGCCGCCCCATCTGGGAGGTGAGGAGCGCCTCTGCCCGGCCGCCCCGTCTGGGAGGAAGTGAGGAGTGCCTCTGCCCAGCCACCCCGTCTGGGAATTGAGGAGCACCTCTGCCCGGCCGCCCATCGTCTGGGAAGTGAGGAGCACCTCTGCCCGGCTGCCCCGTCTGGGATGTGAGGAGCGCCTCTGCCTAGCCGCTACCCCGTCTGGGAAGTGAGGGGCGCCTCTGCCCGGCTGCCACCCTATCTGGGAGGTGAGGAGCGCCTCTGCCCGGCCACCCATCGTCTGGGATGTGAGGAGCGCCTCTGCCCGGCCACCCTTCGTCTGGGAGGTGAGGAGCACCTCTGCCCAGCTGCCAACCCATCTGGGAGGTGAGGAGCGCCTCTGCCCAGCCGCCCCGTCTGGGATGTGAGGAGCGCCTCTGCCCGGCTGCCACCCCATCTGGGAAGTGAGGAGCACCTCTGCCCGGCCGCCCCATCTGAGAGGTGAGGAGTGCCTCTGCCCGGCCGCCCCATCTGGGATGTGAGGGAGCACCTCTGACCGGCAGCCGCCCCATCTGGGAGGTGAGGAGCGCCTCTGCCCGGCCGCCCCATCTGGGATGTGAGGAGCGCCTCTGCCCGGCCACCCCGTCTGAGAGGTGAGGAGCGCCTCTGCCGGGCAGCCGCCCCGTGTGGGAAGTGAGGAGTGTATCTGCCCAGCTGCCCCATCTGGGAAGTGAGGAGCGCCTCTGCCCGGCTGCCCCATCTGGGAAGTGAGGAGCGCCTCTGCCTGGCCGCCCCGTCTGGGAAGTGAGGAGCGCCTCTGCCCGGCTGCCCCGTCTGGGAAGTGAGGAGCGCCTCTGCCCGGCTGCCCCATCTGGGAAATGGGGAGCGCCTCTGCCCGGCCGCCCTTCATCTGGGAGGTGAGGAGTGCCTCTGCCCGGCCGCCCTTCGTCTGGGAGGTGAGGAGCGCCTCTGCCCGGCCGCCCCATCTGGGAAGTGAGGAGCACCTCTGCCCGGCCGCCCTTTGTCTGGGAGGTGAGGAGCGCCTCTGCCCGGCCGCCCCGTATAGGAAGTGAGGAGCGCCTCTGCCCAGCTGCCCCATCTGGGAAGTGAGGAGCCCCTCTGCCCAGCCGCCCCATCTGGGAGGTGTACCCAACAGCTCCGAAGAGACAGCGACCATCGAGAACGGGCCATGATGACAATGGCAGTTTTGTCAAAAAGAAAAGGGGGAAATGTGGGGAAAAGAAAGAGAGATCAGATTGTTACTGTGTCTGTGTAGAAAGAAGGAGACATAGGAGACTCCATTTTGTTCTGTACCAAGAAATGTTCTTCTGCCTTGGGATGCTGTTAATCTATAACCTTACCCCTAACCCCCTGCTCTCTGAAACATGTGCTGTGTCAACTCAGGGTTAAATGGATTAAGGGCGGTGCAAGATGTGCTTTGTTAAACAGATGCTTGAAGGCAGCATGCTCATTAAGAGTCATCACCACTCCCTAATCTCAAGTACCCAGGGACACAAACACTGTGGAAGGCCGCAGGGACCTCTGCCTAGGAAAACCAGAGACTTTTGTTCACGTGTTTATCTGCTGACCTTCTCTCCACTATTATCCTATGACCCTGCCACATCCCCCTCTCCGAGAAACACCCAAGAATGATCAATAAATACTAAAAAAAAAAAAAAACCTTAAAAAAAAAAAAAAGACCAAAACATAAAATAATGCACAGGGCCAGTGGATTTATGGCATTTATCTATTAAGGTTTACGTTGTTTAAGTGATCAATTGCTAGAAATACAGAATCTCAGCAAGGAAAGGGACTCTAAGTATTTTCTCTAAAACATAAATGTTCAAATGAGAAATAAAGATCAAGAAAAAAAAAACCCAGGTTGGAGAGTTTTCATTTGATGAAATATGCAATTTAGAAAACACTTACAGATTCTTTTTTTTTCTCATCCAAAAACATTCTACCTTATAGATTCTTAAATCAAAGAAGTAAAATAATCCAAGTGTTATTTCAGAAAAAAAAATCTAATAGTGATAAAAAAGGTGGAGAAGGGATAACTTGTGATGCAGTCAGGGAAGGCCGGAGGAAGTCACCTTAAACACAGTAGAATCTAAGTGTCAAGAAGGCACCACCCAGGCAGGGGAGACAGCTGGCACTAAGGGCCTAGGCCCCTAGGAGCAAGCTTGGCTCACTTCAGGAAGGTCAGCAGGCAGGAAGACTTTACCTCAAAGAGATGGCAGGAGATGAAGTCAGAGGCACAAGCGATGAAGAGGGCCTGACAGCACAGTAATGAGTCAAGGGGCCAGTAGAGGGCTAAGCAAGTCAGAGGGTAGATTGGTCTCTGGATGCTTGTAAATACTATTTTGGCCGTTATGTGGACTAAAAGAAAAGTCCAGAAGAGAAGCCTGGTAACCAAGTATGTCAGTGCACTAATCCAAACAAGGGATGAGCTTAGACCAGGCTTAGCAGTAGAATGGTAGGAAGTGATTGCCTTAGAAACATGTATATATTTCATATTTCTATACTTACAGATTTCTATACATATGTTAATGGATTATGTGCTACTGTTAAATGAAAAGGTTCTCATTTATATGAAATATACAAATTTCTACTTTTCAGTTAATTATAATGCAATAAAATGCAATGAACTAAAAAACTATGCTTAAGATAATCTTTCATTAATAATTCAGAAGACACTCTGGAATCCAATAATGCCCTTAAGATCACATTATTAATATCAATTATCCTCAAAGTGCAGGCAAGTACGGATTTCTGTCGCTGAAAGCCCTATAAGAAATATTGCAATGGCTTATTTTAGAAAAAAGCACAACAAAAGTGATTTGCCAGGGAAAAAACCCTCCCTACCATTTCCACATTCTGGGATTGCAGGAGGAACTTCACCTTTCATGTCTGCTGCAGCTATGGTCACATCTTTCATCCAAATTTTGAGGGGCAAAAAAGATGCACACACATATTAACTTGAAATTTAATGCCAAATTAGCAAGTAGCAGATCAGACAATTACAGAATCATCATCAAGTCATGAGGAAAGGAGAAAAATGTAAACCTTCAAGAAGGAAGAAAGGAAAGGAAGAGTGGCTAAAGGGGTTTCATTTCAGCAAAAGCTTCAATCTACACCAGTCTTAAATCATTAAATACTCTGCCTAAATGAATCTTTAGAACCCAAAACACTGAACTTTTTGGTGCTAAAAGAAACCCAAGTATAAAGTTACAGATGCTTTTTTTATTTGATAAGCCAAACAAAAGTGATAGGAATAATCCATATATCAGCATAACTTGTAGATACTGCAGGTTTGGTTCTAGATCACTATAATAAAGCAAAGATCAAAATAAATCGAGTCACACCATTTTTTGGTTTCCTAGTGCATACGAGAGTTATGTTCAGATGAGGTGCAGTGGCTCATGCCTGTAATCCTAACACTTTGGTAGTCTATTGCAGGAAGTCAGGGACCCCAAAGGGAGGGACCGGCTGGAGCTGTGGCAGAGGAACATAAATTGTGAAGACTTCATGGACATTTATCACTTCCCAAATAATACTTTCATAATTTCTTATGCCTGTCTTACTTTAATCTCTTAATCCTGTTATCTTCGTAAGCTGAGGATGTACGTCACCTCAGGACCCTGTGATAACTGTGTTAACTGTACAAATTGATTGTAAAACATATGTGTTTGAACAATATGAAATCAGTGCACCTTGAAAAAGAACAGAATAACAGCAATTTTTAGGGAACAAGGGAAGACAACCATAAGATCTGACTGCCTGTGGGGTCGGGCAAAAGGAGCCATATTTTTCTTCTTGAAGAGAGCCTATAAACGGACGTGCCAGTAGGGAAGATATCACTAAATTCTTTTCCTAGCAAGGAATATTGTTATTAATACTCTGGGAAAAGGATTGCATTCCTGGGGGCAGATCTATAAACGTCTGCTTTGGGAGTGTCTGTCTTACGCGGTTGACATAAGGACTGAAATAAGCCCTGGTCTCCTGCAGTACCCTCAGGCTTACTAGGGTAGGGAAAAACCCTGCCCTGGTAAATTTGAGGTCAGACCACTTCTCTGCTCTTGAACCCTGCTTTCTGTTAAGATGTTTATCAAGACAATACGTGCACCGCTGAAAATACATTCTTATCAGTAATTCTGCTTTTGCCCTTTGCCTTGCCATCTTTGTTGGACTCTTATCAGTAGTTCTGTTTTTTGCCCTTTGAAGTATGTGATCTTTGTGACCTACTCCCTGTTCTTACACCCACTCCCCTTTTGAAATCCTTAATAAAACTTGCTGGTTTTGTGGCTCAGGTGGGCATCACGGTCCTACCGATATGTGATGTCACGCCTGGCGGCCCAGCTGTAAAATTCCTCTCTTTGTACTCTTTATTTCTCAGACTGGCTGACACTTAGGGAAAATAGAAAGAACCTACACTGAAATATTGGGGGTGGGTTCCCCCAATAGTAGTCTGAGGAAGGAGGATAGCCTGAGGCCAGGAGTCCAAAGCCAGCCTGATGAATGTAGCAACATCTTGTCTATTAGCCAGGCATGGTGGCATGCACCTGTGGTCCCAGCTACTTGGAAGGCTAAGGCAGGGAGGATTGCTTGAATCCAGGAGTTTGAGGCTGCAGTGAGCCATGATTGCACCATTGCATTCACCCTGCACTTTTATGTTATAAAGATGGCTTCTTTCCTTAAACCTCATGAACCAACCTCTGCTAGCTACAAACTTTTCTTCTGCAGTTTCCTCACCTCTCTCAGCCTTCACAGAATTAAAGAGAGTTAGGACATTCTTTGGATTAGTCTTTGGCTAATAGAAATGTTAGAGCTGTTTGATCTTCCATCCAGACCACTAAAACTTTCTCCATATCAGCAATAAGCCTGTTTTGCTTTCTTATCATTCACATGTTCACTGGAGTAGCACTTTTAATTTCCTTCAAAAACTTTTCCTTTGCATTCACAACTTGGCTAACAGTTTGGCTCAAGAGGCCTGGTTTTCAGCTTGTCTCGGCTTTAGATATGTCTTCCTCATTGAGTTACTCATTTCTAGCTTTTGATTTAAAGTCAGAGACCTGTGATTCTTCCTTTCACTTGAACACTTAGAGATCACCGTAGGGTTATTCACTGGCATAATTTCAATATTGTCATCTCAGGCAACAGCGAGGCTCAAGGAGAAAGGGAAATGGGGGAATGGCCAGCCGGTGGAACAGTCATAACACATACAACATTTACTAAGATCACTGTCTTATATGCACACAGTTTGTGTCACCCTGAAACAATTACAACAGTAACATCAAAAAGTACTGATCACCATAAAAGATATAATGATGAAAAAGCTTGAAATATTGTGACAATTACCAAAATGTACCACAGAGATATAAAGTGAATATACGCTGTTGAAAACATGGCACCGAAAGACTTGCTTGATGCGGGAACTTCAATTTGTAAAAAACACACTATCTGCAAAGTCCAATAAAGGGAAGCTCAGTAAAACAAAGTCCGCTGTCTCACACGTCTGTGTGAAGAGAGTCCACCACACAGGCTTTGTGTGAGCAACAAGGCTGTTTATTTCACCTGGGTGCAGGTGGGCTGAGTCCGAAAAAAGAGTCAGCAAAGGGTGGTGGCATTATCATTAGTTCTTATAGGTTTTGGGATAGGTGGTGGAGTTAGGAGCAATGTTTTGCGGGCAGGGGGTGGATCTCACAAAGAACATTCTCAAGGGTGGGGAGAATTACAAAGAACATTCTTAAGGGTGGAGGAGATTACAAAGAAACTTCTTAAGGGTGGGGGAGATTACAAAGTACATTGATCAGTTAGGGTGGGGAAGAAACAAATCACGATGGTGGAATGTCATCAGTTAAGGCTATTTTCACTTCTTTTGTGGATCTTCAGTTGCTTCAGGCCATCTGGATGTATACGTGCAGGTCACAGGGGATATGATGGCTTAGCTTGGGCTCAGGGGCCTGACATCCACATGTACTTAATTTTATTAGTATTTTCTCCATGCACTTCACTTTGTTAGTATTTTCATTTTAAGACAAACTATTTGTCCCAATAGATTTTTTAAAAGTATTTTAAATCAGTGAGGAGCCATTAGTCTTTTCCTGCCTGTCTTAGTTCAGGCTGCTATAGCAAAGTACCACAGACTAGGCAGCTATGAACCACAGAAATTTATTTCCCACAGTCCTGGGGGCTGGAAGTCTGAGATCAGGGGGCCAGCATGGTGGGGCTGTGACAAGGGCTCTTTTCTGGACTGCAGGTGGCCACCTTCTCCTTGTATCCTCATGTGAGGGAAAGAGGGTGCGAGCTCTCTAGGGCCTAAGAAGGCCATTCGTGATGGCTCCATCCTCATGACCCAAATCACTTCCCAAAGCCTCACTTCCTAACACTATGACTTTGGAGGTTAAGGTTTAAGCTGAATTTAGGAGGGAACACAAATGTTCAGCCCGTAACACTCACCATTCCCTTCCCTGCATTACCTTCCGTTGCATTTGGCTTGGTTAGAAACACAAGAAAAGAAAAAGCAGACCAGCAATGAGTTAACTAACCAAGTTTGAAGAATCTAAATCACAACACCATTTTGGACACAGTTTCAACCAGAATCTGAGTTCCAGTCTAGCTCAGCCCTTTGACAGGAACTACAGCAAACCTCCCCTGTGGAGTCAAAGCCCCTCCCCTTCATAGACAAAGAACATACAGAGCCCAGGCGCGCTCACACAGGGCTCCAAGCATGCACAACTCCTACTCCTCCTGGAGGCCCCTGAACACGCCATCACAGGAACCCCCTTTGTCCTCCATTTTCCCTGCTGTGGTGGGTACAGATTCTCTACACATCACCCGGGGGCTGTCCTGGTGGAGGCAGTGCCTACACACACACACACACACACACACACACACACACACACATTTATTTTTAATCTCATCGTTCACTATAGGAAGCCTAGCAGTGATCATTTATTGAGCCTATTCTTAGGGTCAAACACTGTACCAGATATTTTATATATGAAATAAATATACATTATTCGACTTAATCCTCACAACAGCCCTATATGATTTTTTATCCTTGCTTTACAGCTAAGGGGCCATGTTGAAGATTATACAGCTAGTAGGTGACAGAACTAACAACTGATTCAAGGTCTGAGTCCAAATCCTACATTCTTTATGCCATGGTGCCTTCAATCCACCCTTTCAAGAAGTCAGTAAATATAGGCAACTGAGCACACAGTCTTGCATTTGTATTTAAAGTATCAAATACAAAATTTAAAACACATATTGTACATTAGTTGTCTCATTATTCTAGGAAACTTATATGCTTAAGCTACCAGGTAGGCTATGCAATTACATCTCTGAATGGATCAGGCACGTGGAACTATTTTTCCTTCCAGAGACAACCGAGGCTATATAAACAAAAACCTAGTTCTCGGCATTTAGATCTAAAGTGTGCAAATGAACAAGAAAGTGAAAATGTGACTCATGTTGATAAATATTACAATCTTATGTAAACTCAACTTTTTAAAGTGCAGCAAGTTCTTAAACATGCTTTCAAAATAGAAAGAGCCTTACAAAGATTTCCTGAGTAAGACCTCAAAAGCACAGGCAACCAAAGCAAAAGTGGACAAATAAGATCACACCAAGCTGGGCTGGGCGCAGTGGCTCACGCCTGTAATCCCAGCACTTTGGGAGGCCGACATGGGCGGATCATGAGGTCAAGAGTTCAAGACCAGCCTGGCCAACATGGTGAAACACTGTTTCTACTAAGAATACAAAAATTAGTAGGTGTGGTGGCACATCCTTGTAATCCTAGCTACTCAGGAGGCTGAGGCAGGAGAATTGCTTAAACCCAGGAGACAGAGGTTGCAGTGAGCTGAGATTGCACCACTGCACTCCAGCCTGGGCGACAGAGCAAGACTCCAGCTCAGAGGCGGCGGGGAATCACATCAAGCTAAAAAGCTTCTGCACTGCAAAGGACACAATAAACAAAGGGAAAAGACAACTCACAGAATGGGAGAAAGTATTTGCAAACCACCCATCTGACAAGGGATTAATAAACAGAATATATAAGAAATTCAAACAACTCAATAGGAAAAAATAAATAATACAATTAAAATATTGGCAAAAGATCTGAACAGACATTTATTGGAAGAAGACATACAAATGGCCATCAGGTATATGAAAAAAAAATGCCCAACATCACTAATCAGAGACATGCAAATCAAAACTACAATGGGATACCATCTCACCCCAGTTAAAACAGCTTTTTCCAAGAAGAAAGGCAATAACAGATGCTGGCAAGAATGTGGAGAAAAGGGAACCCTCATATATTGTTGGACGGAACGTTTAGTATGGAGAATCTTCATAAAACTAAAAATAGAACTACCATACAATCCAGCAACCCTATTGCTAGGTAAATATCCAAAACAAAGGAAATCAGTTTGTCAAAGAGTTATCTGTACTCCCATGTTTACTGTAGCACCAGTCAAATAACCAAGATATGGAATTAACCTGTGTCCATCAAGAGTTAAATGGATAAAGAAAAGTGTGGCATATACACACATGGGAATATTATTCAGCCATAAAAAAAAGTGAACTCCTGTCATTTACAACAACATGGATGGAACTGGAGGACATTATGTTAAATGAAATAAGCCAGGCACAGAAAGACAAATGACGTGTGGTTTTCACTCATACGTAGGAGCTAAAGAAAAAAATTGACCTCATGGAGATTCTGAGTAGAATGACAGTTACCAGAAGCTGGGAAGGGTTGTGGGGAGGAGGGAATAAAGAGAACATGGCTAATGGGCATAAAAATACAGTCAGATAGAAGGAATAAGATCTAGTGTTCAGTAGCATACTAGGAAAATCCATGGCTCTGCAAAGGCTTAAACAAACAAACAAAAAAACACACACAAAAAAACAGAGAGAGCCTTAAAATTCTTTAACTCCTCAGTCTTGCTTCATTTGTGCCCTCTCAAGCAGCTCAGCAATCCCACAAAGGCTCTAACTCAAGCAACCGTTGTTAAACTAGAGATGCAAGATGTGCACACATCCCTAAAAATAACAGAAGGCAGTAAGTTATATGCCCAGCAAGTGGTACAAACAGTAAGGATGAGGGCCTGCGAAGGACTCTCTGGAATCACTGGGTCCAAGTGGTCAGGGCGCTTTGTCGAGGAGGTAGGACTCAGCGGAGTCACCTTTTCTCCTCTTAGAAAGAGAGAAGGTGCATCTTGAGGAGGGAACTCCAGGAGGGCAGGCTAGGGAAGGACATCAGAACATGTTCTCAGAAGACCCAGGACTCAATGCAGGTGCAGGGCCTGGTTTGGGAGCAGTACGGTCAACTCTGTGGAACCACCCCTTTCCTCCAGAGGGATAATATCAGCTGACGAGATATGCACACCCACACACGCTCACCCTGTGTGCACACAGAGGAGGGCCCAAGCAGCGTCAGGGCAGGAGGGAAAGACTCACTTAGGCACACTCAGGAACAAACATAAGAAAATAAAGCTAAATTAATGAGGACTTAATTCAATAAATATGATTATACTCAACACTTAGGAGTGGTCCTACAATTTGCATGTCTATACTACTATTTCAGGTTCATTTTAATGGCTAATTAGTTATAAAACAATTCTGATACACTTCTTTCCCCCCAAAAAACCCATTTTTCTCTAGTCACCAAATTATCAAGGTTACTGTACATTCCACCAAATGAAATTACAGATCTCTGAACATGTCCTACTGCCTACAGTAAGGTCAACTCACCTTGCACGAGCAGATCCACATCAACTAAGCTCACCTGGCCAATACAATTAAGGTATCCTGAGCTCCACGGCCTGTTGCGGGAACTCAGGGACCCCGAACAGAGGGACCAGCTGAAGCCATGGCAGAAGAATATAAATTGTGAAGATTTCATGGACATTTATCACTTCTCCAATCAATATTCTTGTGATTTCCTATGCCTGTCTTTAATCTCTTAATCCTGTCATCTTTGTAAGCTGAGGATGTATGTAGCTTCAGGGCCCTGTGATGATTGTGTTAACTGCACAAATTGTTTGTAGAGCATGTGTGTTTGAACAATATGAAATCTGGGCACCTTAAGAACAGGATAACAGTGATTTTCAGGGAACAAGGGAGATAACCTTAAAGTTTGGCTGCCTGTGGGCCGCACAGGACAGAGCCATATTTCTCTTATTACCAAAAATGGGTAAGAGAAATATTGCTGAATTCTTTCCCCAGTAAGGAATATTAATAATTAACAGCCCTGGGAAAAGAATGCATTCCCAGGGTGGGGCCTCTAAAATGGCCACCCTAGGAGTGTCTGCCTTATGCAGATGTAGATAGGGATGAAGCACATCCTAGTCTCCTGCAGCACCCCCAGGCTTGCTAGGATTAGGAAATTCCAGCCTGGCGAATTCTAGTCAGACCGGTTCTCTGCTCTTGAACGCTGACAATGTGTGCACAGCGGGACACAGAAGTTCTTTAGTGGTTCTAGTTTCGCCCTGACCTTGTGATCCCGCCCTGACCTTCTGCCTTGTGATCTTTTGTCGCCCTTGAAGCATGTGATCTCTGTGACCCACACCCTATTCGTAACACCCTCCCCTTTGAAAACTGCTAATAAAAACTTGCTGGTTTTACGGCTCGGGGGCATCACAGAACCTGCCGACATGTGATGTCTCCCCCAGGACACCAGCTTTAAAATTTCTCTCTTTTGTACTCTTTTCCTTTATTTCTCAGACTGGCCGACACTTAGGGAAAATAGAAAAGGACTCACGTTGAATTACTGGGGGCAGGTTCCCCTGATATCTGGCACACCAATGTGTTTTTTTCTTTTTCCCAAGTGCAAGACTTTTTCCCAAGTGTAAGACTCAGTCTTACATGCAAGCACAGGGAATGCCTGCCCGCTCAGGAGGGCTTATACCTGCATGAGAAGAGCTGTCATCAGAGACTCACAGGAAGGGAGTTCTGAAAACAAAGTGAGGCAACATTTCCCAGAGCCAGAGAGAATATTTGTCAATCAAGACCTATCTCAAAAGCAAGGTTCAGGAAATGTGATCATTCCCCACCTGCAGAGTACCCTCTTTACCTGTAACTACCAATCCCACCTGGTCCCTCTCTGGTCCTGGCTCTACCCCAAAGTAGTAATTTAGGTCCCTGGGCCAAGTTTACCTTCCAACCTGCTAGCCTCTCTATTCCCCACTGCAGGTGCAACATAACATGGCTGATTCAATGTCACAAATATCAAACCAGCCTCTAGTATGCGGAAATGTGGAATGCTAAATTCCGCAAAGGATACAGGGTCACTGCCCAGCTTTGGAACGGTTCACACCTCAGCAGCACTCCTTTAGCAGAGACTGGCCCAGAATGAGCTGGCAGGTGCAGACTGAGACATGCACTTCAATAAGCTGGCTGCATGAGAGTGTCCAAAATAAGGTTTAATTGCAATATCATGTTCACTAAATTATGTGTCCTTTACACCTATCATTTTAAATGTCTGTTTTTGATTGTTATTATTCATTACACTTTAAAGTATAATTTGGGCTGGGTGGGGTGGCTCACATCTATAATTCCAGCACTTTGGAAGACTGACTATAATTCCAGCACTTTGGAAGAGGATTACTTGAGGCCAGGAATTCAAGGCTGGAGTGAGCTATGATCACACTACTGCACTCCAGCCTAGGTGACAGAGCAAAGACCCTGTCTCAAAAATAAATAAATACATAAAGTGTGACTTGTATGGAAATGCTTCCATCAGGTGCTCTGAAGACTGTTACCATAGAGACCAGTAACTTGACTGTTTCATGGCCCTAAATTGTACCTACCCTTCAATAACTACGGCCAGAGTCATGAGAATTCACTGTTGGGTGGAGACAGGTTGGGTGAAAGTGTGACTTTACCCACTTGACCTTTCTTCAGCTACTTTCTAGCCTTTAATTTTCTTAATCTTAAAAATGAGATGGTTTCTAAGGCCTTTCCAAGATTCGATATTCCTCTGGTTTCTTCTGTTTCCTACTTTTAGTACCTTTGTTTCAGTCCCAAAAGTGCTTAACTGCTTTAAAAAAAAAAAATCAAACATTCACTTCTTTCTAGAAATAATTTTTGAATACTCTTGGTCTTTAGGAGTATTGGTCAGATAAGTCGATTGATTGGTATCCAGTGCACTTGACACTTTGTTGTTTCTATTTGTTTGCACACTGTGGGTGCAGGGACTTGGCTTTGGTGCCTTAAAATAAAAGGTAAATCATGTATTTCTTCTTGTACTCACTTTAATTCCAGGAAGGGAATCAGTGCCAGGGCTTTAGTGACACTGATGGCAGAAAGGTATTTGAGGACCTATTTTTAGTCCTCCACCTGTTTCACACACAGATGCATTCACTATCCATTGCTTCAGTCTGTATCAGGGAGAAAAGGCTAAAAATTTTTACAGCTGAACGGGAGTGGTGGCTCATGCCTGTAATCCCAGCACTTTGAGAGGCCAAGGCAGGTGGATTTCTTGAGCCCAGGAGTTCAAGACCAGTTTGGGCAACATGGTGAAACCCCATCTCTACAAAAAATACAAAAAAATAGCTGGGCATGGTGGTGTGCACCTGTAGCCCAGCTACTAAGCTGAAGTGGAAGAATCACCTGAGCCCAGGAAATTAATGCTCTGCAGTGAGCCATGATTGAACCACTGCACTCCAGCCTAGGCAACAGAGAAAGACTCTGTCTCAAAAAAAAAAAAAAAAAAAAAAGAGAAAGAAAGAGAGAGAGAGAAAAAAAGAGAGAGAGAGAGACAGAAAGAAAGAAAAGAAAGAAAGAAAGAAAGAAAGAAAGAAAGAAAGAAAAAGAAAGAAAGAAAATTTTACAGCTCATAACCTTTCCTTTCCAAATAACTTCAGCCCTGCAATAAAATGAACAGAGCTCTAAGACACTAGTGAGACTTGGATTCTATTCTGAGCAAAATGCTCTATGAAATCAGGAAGAAAACATCTTAAACAAAATGACCCGTTTAACAGGCAAGAACCTTAAAAAAAAGAAGTGAATTGGTCATAGGGACTAATTCAAAATAGACCAAAAAATCAAAGTTTTAAAAAAATGACTTATATTCCCATTTTTGTCCCTAAGTGAAATTCTAACTTTACCTGAATAGTTAGTTATCTCTCTGTTCTTTATCTATTTTTAGAAGGCATTTAAAAACAAATTGCCTGGCAGGTCTCAAAGTGCTTGATTAGTATTTGTCCTGCTATAAGGAAGTCATGAATGAAAAATCCCCTAATGAGGACAAAATACATGTTGATTTTCTTACCAATAGTATTCTTTTTTCTGAGTCTTTTTCTAAGCTACAAGAAAATATGGGTGAATTCCTCTATCACTTACATGTGGAAAAAGACTTTCCAATTATGACTCAAAATCCAGCGCAATAAGAGACTGACAAATTTGACTAGATAAAAAAAAGTTTTAAACCTTCTGCATGGCAAAAAATACACTAAGCAAAGTCAAAGTTAACAAATTGAGAGAAGACATTTGTAATATACACCACAGATAAAAGACTAATATTACTGTCTCCAATATACATAGACATTTTACAATTTGAAGGTGACCAAAATTTCTATAGAAAAATAGATGAAAGATATAGACAATTCACAAGATTTTTAAAATGGCCCTTAAATGTTTGAAAATATGTTCAACCTTACTCATAATAGGAGATATCCAAATTAAAACCACACTGCAGTGCCATTTTCTTCTACCATATTGGCAACAATGTAAAAGCTTGGTAATATACTATGGGTGAAGCTGTGGGAGAAAATGGTATTCTCATAAATTGCTGCTGGGAATGCAAAATGGTTCATCATTATGGAAAGAAGTTTGGCAATATCTAAGAAAACTATATATGTCTTCACATTACAATGCAGCGATTTCACTTCTAAGAATTTACCCTGAAGATACACGTCCAACATACACACAAATTATTCACTGCAGCATTATCTGTAATTGCAAAATACAGGAACTCCCTAAGCATTCAAACTTGGAGAGTTGTTGGGTAAAATATAGTACTACGATATACAGTAGTATATGTGTATACATAATGGCACACCATGTGCTGTAAAAAAGAAATGAGGAAGATGCACATGAACTGACATGGAATGATCTCCAGATGTTAAACGAAAACAGCGAAGTGCAAAAACAGTCCTTTTGTCAAAGGCAGAGAAGAAAATAAGAAAACATAAATATACACCACACACATCTGCCTATTTTTACAGAAGGAACAAAATAAATCAGAAAATAATGAAGTTAGTATCTACAAGATGGGTGGATGAAGTGGGAGGGATGAATGTAATGTTACTTCTCTGGATATACCTTTTTATGTGGTTTTGACTTTCAAATGCATGTTAATGTTCTATATATTCAAAACATAAAATCATAAGAATGAAGAGGAAAAGATCAAAAAACTAAAAGCAAACTGAAACAAAAACAACTGTATTTTAAATGAATTACTTAACCACATTAAGTAATTAAGTATAATTACTTAAGTATATGTGTCACTATAACAAAGTACCTGAGACTGGGTACTTATAAAGAACAAAAATTTTTTTTTTTTTTTTTTTGAGACAGTCTCGCTCTGTTCACCAGGCTGGAGTGCAGTGGCATGATCTCAGCTCACTGCAACCTCTGCCTCCCGGGTTCAAGTGATTCTCCTTCCTCAGCCTCCCAAGTAGCTGAGATTACAGGCACCTGCCACCACACTCTGCTAATTTTTTGTATTTTTAGTAGAGACCGGGTTTCACCATGTTGGCCAGGCTGGTCTCGAACTCCTGACCTTGTGATCCGCCCGCCTCAACCTCCCAAAGCCCTGGGACTACAGGCCTGAGCCACTGTACCTGACCAAGAACAGAAATTTATTTTTTCACAGTTGTGGAGGTTAGGAAGTCCAAGATCAAGGTGTCAGCAGAGATGGTGTCTGGTGAAGGCCTGTTCCTCATAAATGCCACCTTCTAGGTGTCCTCACACAGCAGAAGAGCAGAACAGAGAAATAAAGCCCTTCCTCAAGCCCTTTTATAAGGAGTCTAATCCCATCCTTGAGGGTTTCACCCTCATGACTTAATCACCTCTTTAAGGCCTCACCTCTAAATATGATGACATTGGCTGTAAAGTTTCAACATGTGAATTTTGGAGGACACATTCAGACCACTGCACACACTGAAAGGGGAGTAGAGGGTAATCAATATAAGCAACTTAGGAGCTTCCGTATTTAACTACAGCTAACCCCTGAACAATGCGGGGGTTAGGGGTGCCAACCCCCACACAGTTGAAGATCTGCATATAACTTTTACCTCCCCTAAAACTTATTTACTCATGTCTATTGCTGATCAGTAGCCTTACCAATAACATAAACAGTAAATTAACATGTATTTTGTTTTATGTATTATATACCATATTCTTACAATAAAGCTAGAAAAAGAAAACATTATTAAGAAAATCATAAGGAAGAGAAAATACATTCACCGTACTGTACTGTATTTATCCATATGGCAAGTTTACACTTCCTGTTTACAAGATGAACTATCTGTCTGAAATGGCAGCCACCCCAGCTGCAGACCTGTCTCCAGCACCTATCAAGTAATTCAACTTTTTCTTGTAATGTCATGACTTTTCTCTGCTTCTTGGGAGCACTTCCAGCATCACTAGTGCCATTTCATATGGATCTCATGGTGGTTATTCAAGGTTTACAGTATTGCACGAAACAGGAGGAAAAATACATGAGAACAGTGAGAGGGCACTTTTTACTGTGATGCGCAATTCACTGGGGACAAACTGCTCACACTGGGATGACAAGCATCACACAATATTTTAAGCGGATACTCGCGACACTGGAGCTCATTGCAATAGCAACAGGACGAGGCTACAAAATTATTACAGTAGTGTAGTACATACTACAGTTAAGTTTATGCAGTTACAATTTAATACTACTACATCTTTATGTTTGTCTGTATTTCCCTTGACTGAAAGTAGCACCACGTGTGGTCTGTTTGTGCGTGTAAGTTTTGATAAATTTTAACATTTTATAATAAATTTGTATATATTTTAGGGTAGCCAGTAAATGACAAAATAGAACAGTACCTGCATTTATTTTATGCATTCATGACACGTTTTCTTAATTTTTTCAATATTTCTAGGCTATGCAGCTCATCTGTGAATTTTTTCAAATTGTCACAAATCTCTAAAAATTGTTCCAATATATTATTGAAAATCTGAGAATAAGTAGACTCACACAGAGGCCAACTGTACATAGCTAGTTTGGGAAGGTGGGCAGAGGGAAGGTGAAGAAGAACTGCAAGCAAATTCTGAACTTTTCTGTATTAGCCTGCTTGTGCTGCCATATCAAATACCATAGACTGGGTAATTCAAACAACAGAAATTTATTTCTCACAGTTCTGGAGGCTAGAAAGTCCAAGGTTAAGGTGCTGGCAAGGTAGGTTTCACCCTGAGAGCTCTTCTCATTTATAGGTGGCCACCATCTCACTGTGAGCTCACATGACCTCTTCTTCGCGCAAGCTCTCCGATGTGTCTTCTTTTAGGGCACTAATCTCATCACGAGGGCCCCACCCTCATGACTTCATCTAATGTTAATTACTTCTTAGAGGCCCCTTCTCCAAACATCATCACATTGGAGGTTAGGGCTTCAACATATGAATTTTTGGAGGATACAAACATTCAGTCCATGACATCCTTTTGGTAGGTTTGGTTTTTATATTAGTACAGGTGTAGTAAACCTGAAATTATTTTTAGATGTATTATAGCATTAAGCAAACTATGGAAGAAGGGATTACAAAAACGAAATGGGGGAAGGTATAGGGGTGGTCTGGAATTGGAAATACTGGTGTAAATTCATGATTTCTAAAACACATATATGTAATGTGTATACATATATGCATGTATGTACGTGTGTGTGTATGTCAGTTTATTGCCTCTCAGCTCCCAACCCATCAATACGTGCTCTATAATAAACAATAGAATTCCTTTAAACATTCCTCCTTTAAAGTGAGCACAAGGTTAAGCTTTCTCCAGAAAAAGGACTAGAGGGACACCACAAGATGAAAATAGTTCCTGAAACTTCCAGGGCTCTTCAGAGTGGAAGATGCCATGAAGGTATGAGAAAATCCAGGAAAGTCCGCCTATCCAATAGCCCAGCACACAGTCCTATGACCTTACAGCTTTGGCCTAGTGACAATCTTTCTATAGCTCCTCAACATAGAAACCAGTGATCCTGCCACTTGTCCATACTCCCAGCTGCCAATGGCCTGAGGGTCAAAAAGTGAGTAGTCACTCCTTCTGCAAGTCCCTCTCCATCCCATCCCCTGCATGGGCCATTCACTTTGAAGGCCCTCTGCCCACACTCCACCACTACCATGGAGGGACAGCCTCCTCCCTTGCCTGCACTCCAGAGGGTTATTTACTGATTGCCCAACAACTCTAGACCAGCTCTAGTCTAACTAAGCTAACAAACTTCCGTGCTATGTGCTAGGCTGAACCACACCTTCTCCAATAAGATCTGAACCCCTTCCCAGCTTATCCTCCCTTGCATCATCTCCTTCGGCCCTAGGGTACTATACAGAGTCTCTTTATATCTTACTGTTTCTCTCTTTTCAATTTATATATATATATATATATATATATATATTTTTTTTTTTTTTTTTTTTTTTTTTTTTTTTGACAGAGTCTTACTCTGTCGACCAGGCTGAAGTGCAGTGGCGTGATCTCGGCTAACTGCAACCTCCGCCTCCCGGGTTCAAATGATTCTCCTGTCTCAGCCTCCTGAGTAGCTAGGATTATAGGTGTGTGCCACGATGCCTGGCTAATTTTTGTATTTTTAGTAGAGATGGGGTTTCACCATGTTGGCCAGGCTGGTGTCGAATTCCTGACCTCGGGTAATCCGCCCACCTCAGCCTCCCAAAGTGCTGGGATTACAGGCGTGAGCCACCGTGCCCGGCAGTTAATTATTCTTTATATTAAACTTCCTGTGTTTAACCCACTGTGTGGTTTCCGTCTCCTAATTGAACCCAGACTGCTACTGAATGTGTGTATGTAGGTATGTGTGTGTGTATATATACGTGTATATATACACGTGTATATACACGTATATATATACGTATGTGTGTGTGTGTGTGTGTGTGTGTGTGTGTGTGTGTGTGTCTGTTGAACGAGTCCAGCAGCAAAGATATTCCGGTAACAATGAACACCTCTAGAGGCCAGATGTTGGTTTCTAATACCATTCCCCATTGAAACAGCATTCCTCAGAGAAATTACTGCTTCCAGACCCAGGGCAGGGTAAGTACAAGATGATGCTGAAACATCTTGTTAAGCTAGAAAATAAATAAAGAGGTGCCCACCTACCACTGCCAGTGACTGGGGTGCACCAAAAGGACACGAGCCAACCTAAAGGGGCTCCTGCTGGCCAAATCTGGGACACTTTGACCAAATTTGAATCCAAATAATCAAAGGAAATAATCATTGAAGAAAAAAGTGGAAATCCAAGAGTTCACAGATAGGTAGGTGGGTGGATAGGGAACAACAGGAGGCTCTTGATTACATCTGTCAGCTGCCAGTACTCATGGAGGGAGTAGTGGAATTGGAAAATCACCGTTTTTGCAACCATCATAGAAAAGACTGGCTCATGGAAGAATCATCAATGGATCATAAATCTAGGGAAGAAATTCTGATAAGGAATAGGATATTTGCATGGTTTTGAAGTGATCTCTCAACAGATTATCAAATACAGGGGGAAAAAAACCAATAACAACACAGTTGAGAAAATGGACAGCACTTTGGCCAGGTGATCAAAATTAACATCACCAATGAGGGGCAGATAGCTACTGTGCACCTCCACATGTGACACCCTGAAAAGGACACATCATTTATGTAGTATTCTGGCTTGGGATGATTAATCTAAATTTAATAACAAAAACAAAAGAAAAAAGGGAAAAAAACACAAAATACCAAACATTCTATTAAAAAGAAAGAGGAGCATTCTTCTAAAAGGTCAATGTCATAAAACATAAGGAAAAACTGAAGAGCTATTCCAGATTACAGGGGTCTAAAGATACCTAACAACTAAATGCAGTGTGTGGTCCTAAACTGTATCCTGTGTAGAGGAATAAAGAAAAACTACAGAGGATAGTTCATCAGTTGACAAAAGTGGAGTATGGAGAATAATTTAAGTATTGAATTGACGTTAAATTTCCTGAAGTTGATAACTAACTGTACTATAGTGGTTATGTTCTTGTTCTTAGGAAATACACATTGAAGTATTTTAGAGTAAAGGACCAAGATGTACACTCTCAAATGATCCAGGGGGGAAGAACACCTTACATATATAACAAGAGAGAGAAAGAGAGAGAGTGTATGCGTGCACATGGAAGTGCAAAGGACAGAATAAAGCAAAATGTTCATAGCTGAATTTGAGTAAGAGTATTCTTTGTACTTTATTCCAATTTTTATAGTTTGAAATTATTTCCAAATAAAAGGGTTTTTAAATGCCTTTTATCCAAGGTCCTATTGGACATTCATTAACAAGTTCTCTGGGTAAGCATGGAGCTCTGCCACAGCCCTCAAAAAGAAAGAGACTTGTCTAAAACTACAGTCCAATATGGTAGTTACTAGCCACATGTGGCAACTGGGCACTTGCCAGTGTGGCTAATCCAAATTGAGATGTGCCAGATTTCAAAGACTTAGTATAAAAAAAAGAGTATCGGTTATCAAATTAGTAGTTTGTATATCGATTACATGCTGAAATATTTTAGATATATTGAGTTAAAGTATATTAAAAATTAATTTCACCTGTTTCTTTTTACTTTTAATGTGTCTATTTAAAATTTAATATTACATATGTGGTTAATATTATGTTTCTATTGCACAATGCTGATTTAAAATATAATAATGCTTTTTTTAAAAAAGAGATATTGATCACTTAAACAAGTGTTTCATTACTAGGGGAAAATTTCAGTTTACATTACAGAGCCTGACTCCCCTAAGGTGTTTTCAATCTTGAAAATAGTTAGGTTTTTCAAAGCACAATTAAAGGAAAACAAAATTTTAAGGCCTAGGAGACAAGCAAAAGCTCTTTGGTCATGTTTAAGTGATTCCCTAATTAGTCACAAATGCCATCTGTAGCGAATTTCCTGAAGAGGTTAAAAAAAAATCTAAAATTGTGAAAAACATCAAGTGAATGGAGAGACAATAGATGGTTTTTACACTCTTGTTTTCTGTATAAAATTAACTTCCCAAGTCCTAAACATTAACTCATACTGCCTTTTTAAACAAAGCCATCAAACATTTATTTCTGCTACCAAGGAGTTTACAAAATAGAGCTTTCTGACAAGGATGGTGCTTTCGAGGTTATTCTTCTTTTTTTTTTTTAATGTTAAGGTTCTGATTAATGAACTCTTCCTTAAACTCTAAAAATTTAATCAGCAAAGAAAGAACAGAGCTAAAACATACAAATCTCGGTTTTGCCTTAAACGTTGTCACAGGGATTATATACAGGGAGGAAAAAGAAAGGCTGGAAGTGAGCTTGACTAGGAGGATAAAGAAAAGTCCCTAAGATAGAGACAATCTCCTCTGTATTTTAGTAGACCAAATCTAACTAGGCCAAGTGGAAAAAACAACACATGTCAGTAAGAATTCCCTAAAACAGCAACAATGAGGAAGAGAAACCAAATGTAGGTTGCCAGAAGGTACAATAAAAACACCCAGCAATAGAATCTTGGGCAAAATGCACAGGTGTGTTTGTTTTGGAAGTTTGGAGTCAAGGTTGTGGGTGGACCCAACTGGAAACACCAAACTGTTGCACAGTACAAATTCTCACGTTTTTCCTTGTGGCACCCTTCCCACCCATCCTATACCATATCCCAGAGAAATGACCAACTTCTAGACAAAAACCTCCTAGTAAAATACGATACCCACTGCCCAGTGCACTAAGGATTCATTTCTGTGTTTCTGACTAAAACCCTCGCTGTTGAAGGCCCAATAGGTAGCTCCATGCAGAGCTGAGGCCCCAAGTCAGGCTCTGCTGGCTTGCGAGGCGGGAAGATGAATGAACTGCACAAGATGAGTCTAGAATGCCTTACAGATTAGGCACATTAGTGTCCAGTGTCCTAGAATCCCAAACCTGTAACAGAACTAGTGGCAAAAGTCCCTCCTCCCCACACAGCGGGGACACCTCCCACCTGTACTAACCTCTCACCTGCCTCCTGCCTCACATTCCATTCCCACATTTAGCAACCATGAGGGCACTCCTCTCCCCTGCTGAGCCATATGAGATGTAACTAGGCAATTCTTCTCTCCACCAACATCAGGCACTGAAGGGTTATTCTCTGGGTTAGCCACAACTCGTTTTGGGAATCTCAGGCACAGCAGAGATAGTGACAAGGATTGAAAACAAGAATGATGTTGTGAAAAGCCAAATACATAGAATCTAGAAGGTTCCTGAGTTCAATTTCAGCTCTGTCAATTAGCAGAGATGCCTTACTTTGGGCAAGCTGCTTAACGTCTCTGTACCTCACTTTCCTCATCTAAAAAAAAAAGATGACAATAACAGGTGCAAAGCTGCAGAGCTGATGTGAGGACTGAGTGAGCTATAGCACTTAGGATGGTGTCTGGTACAAAATAAATACTCAATATTAGCTCCTCCTCCTCCCTCCTCCTGCTCCTCCAACTTTCATATAACTAGGTCTACCTCTTTCCCAGCACGCACGCACACACACACACACACACACACACACACACACACACACACACACACACCAGCTCTGAGAATGCTGGCAACAGGAGTATATTCACAGGTGTGTGACTGGAAGTTTCTTACTGAAAGAAACTGGACCACTACGGAGAAAGCTGCTTGGATGCTGACCTTTGGCAGTCCCAAGAAAACAGCTGGTTCTCCCCCAGGTCATTATATAATACAATAAAGCTCACCAGCTAAACACCCCCTACATATACACACACAAAAGATGCCAAAGAGATTCATGGTGCACTACTCTTACATTTGAATAAATAGTCAAGGATCATTAGACATTTAAAGAAGACCTCAATTATAAAAAATCTGGGTGGTGGTGGGGAGATTCACACAGAACCACCCCTATACACACTCACACACACCTCTTTAAAAAACCTCAAAAAAAGCAGATCTAATGCATGGACAAAAAAAAAATTGTTTAAAACCATAATTTGTATCCTCACAGAAGTATGAGAAAATATAGTGCCCATAAAATAAGAACTGGAGCAGCCAGTAGATTAGAACAAGATGTTAGAAATGAAAACCATCATGGCTCTGAAATAATTTTGATTAGAAAAGCTTAAAAAATAAAGTAAGGAAATCTCTCAGAAAGTCAAACATGTAAAACTTTAAAAGTCAGGAAGTTATTCTAAGAGGTTAAACATCTGACTAGTAGGTTAGAGAAAACAGAGAAAATCCAGGATGCAGGTGGGTAGTAATTCTTAAAGCAACAACAACCAAAAAGCCCTGGAACTGAAGAGCATCGTTTCCACCAAATGGGTCTCTACCTTGTTAATGTGAAAAAAGTTACTAAAGCAGACCATTATGAAATTTCAGAATACCTAGAAAAAAGAACACATGCATAAACTTTTGAATGTTTTTTAGGTCACATATAAAGGACCTAGAGTAATAATAGTCAATTTTAAAAAGCCCTCATCATGTGCCAGCCACTTTTCTAAATGGCTATAGTAACCACTGAATCCTTACAACAAATCCCATATGAGGAAAGTATTATTTATAAATCCATTTCACAAATGAGAAAATCATAGTACAGTCTGGTACACAAGGGGGATGGTTGCAGGACTGTGCACGTATACCCAAATTCTCACATACTCAAATCCCGCAGTCAGCCCACAAGAACTTAAGCATACAAACGTTGATTTTGTGTATAATCCTCTCCATATAAACATGGATTTTGCATCCCAGAAATACTGTATTTTTGATCCGTATTTGATTGAAAAAATTCCACATATAAGTGGATCCACAAAGTTCAAACCATGATAGTCAAGGGACAACTATAAAGATAAATTAGATAATATATTTAAAGTCATGGCATTACTAAGTGATGGAGCTAGAACGTAAACTGAGTCTAGCTCCGGGGCCTGAGCTCTTAACTACTATGCTTCTAAAAACTCTGGAAATGTGAAGACAAAATTCTGAAGAAAACTACCTAGAAATCTGTACCCAGCCAAACTATCAAGTGTGAAAGCAATTAAGACATTTACAGAGATTAAAAGTCTTATACTTTATGACTTACAAATACTTTCTTAGGAAGATACTGGAGATTATGTTCCAACAAAAAGGAGTTTAACCAAAAAAATACAAGATTCCATAAACGACACGTGGAATAAATAGGGGGCAAAGAGAATTCCCAAGATGATGATTAAAAGGAAGTTCAGGAAATCACCTGGGCAGCAGGCCCACTGAGCAACCAATCCAGAGAGCAGAAGGATGACAAAGGACTCTCAGATGGAGGTGTTCAGGAAAAAAACAAAAACAAAACAAAACAAAAAAATGAACTGATAAACCATCTAATTGGTTTGAATGTATGAAATTATGCTGAAGATGTAGGAAGGTTTTGCAATAGATAAACTAAACCACTGGGGGGGAAATTTTTATCATGAGGAGAAAAGAGTTAAATAATGAAGGAATACAATCATAGTACCCTACTTGGCTCATCTGGGAATAACAGTGACATAGTTTAAACAGTGTAAACACTGAATAATAACCAATATTTGTGATACAGTAATACTGGAATGATTAGATGATAGGGCAAAGCTGGGTTGAGTGACTATGAAAGAAAGAGAAGAGTGCTAAATCTCAGCCTAACGAGATGGGAATGAAGTCAATAGACAAAATCCTAAAATTGATTCATCAAAAAAATAATAGTATGAGCCTTTGTTAAGTGGCCAGGACAACAGGTGGGGGGAGGGGGGGAGACAGGAGTTAGAACATTGCTATTTTTCATTCTTAGCATTTACCAATATGTATAACTATTACAGTGATAAAAAATTAACTCACACTACTGAGCTTTGGTATAAAAATAGATAAGCCAGTTTAGGTGAAATGAAATTCTGACCTAAATATAAAACAAAAGTTTCATTTCTGCCTCTTTGCTAGAAAGGTTCCTTATTCAAAATAAGAATTCCTAAGACATTTAAAAGAAGAGCTGTTCCTCGGCTGGGCGCGGTGGCTCACGCCTGAACCCCAGTACTTTGGGAGGCCGAGGCGGGCGGATCACGAGGTCAGGAGATTGAGACCATCCTGGCTAACACGGTGAAATCCCGTCTCTACTAAAAATACAAAAAATTAGCCAGGCGTGGTGATAGGTGCCTGTAGTCCCAGCTACTCGGGAGGCTAAGGCAGGAGAATGGCATGAACCCAAGAGGCAGAGCTTGCAGTGAGCCGAGATTCAACCACTGCACTCCAGCCTGGGAGACAGAGTAAGACTCTGTCTGAAAAAAAAAAAAAAAGAAAAGCTGTTCCTCAAATCCCTTCAGTTTACAATAACTGGCTACAATTAAGAGTTAGGCTCATGTGTACATTATCATAGTATCATGGTGACTGATGTCTGTTACTTCTTTAAGACTATTATTTCCATAATTGATTAAGCATAGCCAGTGCTGTCAACTGTCAGTTATCCACATTGGTGAAAAAATGCACTGAATTGAATGGTAATTTTTACACTCACATTTGATTTTTTGACAATTCTATTTGAATATGAGAGTCTTCTTATGGTCTTGGAATACGGCCCAAACCAAAAGCACTGTCTTCTTTCATGCCACAAACATTTATTACTATTGTTTATAATCATGACTATGTATGTCTGGTCCCACCTGTCGATCCCGCTTTGCTTTCCACTACTCTCCAACACTTCACCAAACTCTTCCATGTCCAAAACACACACATACCACAGTCATTCATAACTCTGTTTAAGGGTGCCTCTTCCCTTCACCTTTTTGAAGCAGTGTCTTATAGATAGAAAAACACACAGACACAAATTCAAATCTCAGATCTGCCATCATCTGGCTCTGCAACCTCAGACAATTTCATTAACATCTCAGAACCTCAGGTTCCCCAACTGTACAGCAAGGATATTAATACAAAGCTGTAGAGAGATGTTATGAGGGCTACACTAAATAATGGACATAGCACACACACACAAATTACAGGAATATATATGGCAATTGTCATCAGCAAAGACAACATTATATCCATGCAAACAATATCCACCCTCTGACACACGATAGACGATCCATCTGGGCAGGAACAGTGCCTTTTTCACCACTGTAGAGCCAAAGCCCAACAGAGTCTAGCCTAGAGCGAGCTCTCAAATGTTTACGGAACCGAAATGAACATTAAGGTCCAGCTCACTCCCTGACTCTGCAGGAAGCTTCCCTGACCACACTGGTCCACAGTGCTTCATCCTCTGACCTACTATAGCACTCTGCAGTACATCAGAACAGTACAACATCTGCCACCCATTTCTTCAGACTTGGTCTAAAAAAAGAAGACAGACTCACCAGGACAATGACGTTAATTATGGCTATAGTCAGGGAATGTAAGAATATTTTTTAAATACCTAGTTGACTTCATTCACACACTACTCCACCCTTCCAGTCCCACTATGCAGATCCTTTCTCTCAGTGTTCCCACTGAGGAAATCCTTCGTGATAAAGCTGGCAGATAAAAGCGGAACATCCATCAAATTCTAGTAAGTGCATTTTATCGGTTTAAATTCCTTTCCAGGGTAAAAAACTAGGTAAGTTTCCACTATTCATTTCGCTCAATACAGTAAATTTACCTGCAAAAAGTACAGTTAAGTCCTCACTTAACTTCAAGGATAGGTTCTTAGAAGCTGAACTTTAAGCAAAAATGACCTGCATATGAAAACAATTTTACCTTAAGCTAACTGATATAAACAAGAAAAAAGATCCTACGTATATACTACATACTAAGTGTTGTTTCACCTAAAGCTGCAGTTTCCAAGAACTTAACAATATTGAGGACTTACTGTATAGAAAAGTCTGAGGGGTTGTGGTTTTGCAATTCATATCTCTTAACATTATATGGTTTTGAAACCTGCCATGCAGATCACTGAATCCACAAACATTCAACCATGATGTAGCCCTGAGCTTCTCAGTCCCTATTACCAGCTACAGATGATCCCAAGGAGGGCTTTTCTCCACCAACTATGCCCTCTCTGTATTCAATGCACCTCCGGGAGTGGGGCAGCCCTCCTGTAATGGAATACCTAAAGGTACTACCTAGGAAGGAAACAAGGTAGATGTGGTCACCTAGCATGCTACAATATGCTCACATGAACAGAAACGTTGCTTTACCAGAAGAGTTGCATAAAATGAGTCATTAATGCTGAGTCACTAATAAATTATCTCTAACTCAGGTCATGAACACATGATTATGTAACTTTTCAAACGACTACAACCACATGCTGAATACATTAAGCACAGAAACAGTCATATCTGAGCACCTGCATAAGTCAAATTATTAAGGCAGCACCCTAGTTTAACCATCTGCCATGGAAACTAATAAAAAGTGTAGCATGCTCAGATGGATAAAATCCCCATTACAAACCACAAACATTTCACAGTATAGTCAAAAGGCGCACAGAACATCACTGCCTGTCCAACAAGGGCAATTTTGTTCCAGGGCAGGAAAAAATGCATAGGTCCTTGTCCTTGTCAGCCAGGTTCCAACAGCATCTGACAAGGTGAGTACAGTCACATGCTTAGGTTGGGGCTGGGGAACGAAGTGTCCTTCATCTCTCTCAGAAATGCCTCTCTAAAGCCAGAATGTGGCTTAATCTTCTTGCACCACTGAGAAAAGCACGCGCTAAACGTGCTAAATCCTAAGTATTTCTCAAGGCCCTGCTCAAAGATCATCTTCACCACACAATCTCTAGGAAGCCTCATTCTTCATTCTTTGAACAATTGAAAGCTTGCTTTCTCTTCCTAATGGAAATGCAAATAGAGGAAGGCGAAGTCCACGTTTCACCCTCATGCTAGACTGTAGATTCCATGAGGTATAAGCTGGGACTTCTCTTGCCCCCCGACAGTGGCAAATACACGCAGCACCTGGCACACAACAGAGATGCAGTAAATACCTGCTAAAAATTAATGCATGTGTTTTCAAATCTAAACTGAGGAACAAAAATCAACAAACACTGTTTCTAACCTCATGAGTCAGAACAGTAACTGAATTTCCAGGTACTAAGTGGTATTGTAAGGACTGGAAAGTAATATACTTAAGTATATTACTTTAAGTACAAAGGGTATAGAGTACTTTACTATTTCATCACTTATATACCATTTTCACAGCCCTTCCAAAAACATATTATCTCAGGTTCTACAACTCTGATAGAAGAGAATTATTATTTTCAACTTACTACTGACTTGAGTAAACTAATGAATGACTTGGACAGGTAAAGCTAGAACTTCTTGGAATCAAGATATGGAAAAACAGAAACAGAAAGGAAAAAAGAACAGGCCATCACTAAAGGAAATAAAACAGCCCTCCATTATATCCACCATTATAATACCTTAGTTGGTCACAAATCTACTAAAAGTCACTTTCTATGTAGAATTTATGAGAGATAAAAGAGCTGCAGTGAGTTTTTGCTGGCTTTAATCCAAAATGAGTCAACTTTTCCCACTAAAACTGTTGTACAGATTAAGTACTTTAAATACTGTATAAATGTTTCAAAATAAAATGGTTTTCTAACCTCTCTGAATGTTGAGAAAGTTGGTCATCACTATGCACAGTGAGGTGGACACAGAACCTGGCTTGCCAGTCCCCAGTGGCTCTGGGCCTTCTTCAGGAGAGGGTGAATCAGACAATGGTACTAGGAGGGTCTTTCAACTGCAAGGGAGACCATTCTTACAATCTAGAAATTCCCATCCTTTTTGGAATTAAGATGTGTCATACAATGTTTTTAGGAAAAAGAAAAGTACTTTAGAAGTAAATTTTTATAATATTTTTAAAACACTTAAAAAACTTAACATAGATTGTTGAGTCCTCCACAATAGAAAAATAGTAGAGTTTAAGTCAAGAGATTCATGAGGAGGTTTATGCTAGGCATGGTGGTGAAGTGAGCACGTTTCAGATATTATCTGGAAGTCAGATACAGTGGGAGGTCTTGCTAATAACAAGACTTGGGGACAAGGGAAGCGCAGGGAGATTCCTGAGTTGAGAGCTGAACTGACTGGCTGGTCTTGGGCCATCTACTAAAATGGGGAAACAGTGCATGGAACTGATCTGAGGTTCAAGGGGCGGGGGGAAATGAGTTCTGTCTGGGTGACCGATAGTCTGCGAGGCCTGACTGGTGTCCACTTTTGTATCTCATATATCAAGTTGGAGAATGAAGTCTGGAACTAGAAGGAGATGGCAGACAGAGAGAGGTATCTGGAGTCATAGCATGTAGGGAGATTTAAAGCCAACATAGAGAGGAAATACAGAAAAATATGCATGCCTGGTGCCCGTTAACATTTAAAGATGAGGCAAAAAAAAGGCAGAGCCAGCAAAGAAAGGCGGAAAGCAGAGGCCAGAACAGTAACAGGAAAACCAGGAGAGCCTGGTGTCCTGGACAACATTTCAATTCTACTGATGCTACTGAGACATCAAGTGCAGTTTAAAAACAAAAACAAAACACCAAAAACCTATGAGTTTAGCAATGTGTGGTCATTGAGGAGTTCATTTCAGTAGAATAAGGAAAGAAAGCACACTGAAGTGGGCCAAAAAGTTAAAGAAAATTTTTTTAAAAAATAAATAAATAATTGATATTCTAAACAATGAGAGGTGAGGAAGTTAAGAATGACAGGGTACATTGATCTTCCAATAAGTTTTACCAAACGAGGCAAGCAGATAACTATAATAAAGCATGATCAGCGCAACCAGAGAAGTCTGTTAAGTGTACAACAGGGACAAGGGGCAGGGTCAGAGAAAGCATATCGGAGAAGATGTACCCAATCCAAGAAATCAGGTGAGACCATTGCTACAGTAGTCGTGTCCTTATAACAAAACGAATTCCAGCAACTACACATAGCTGCCTGCTTATTCTCAAGTCAAAAAAATCCTGTTAGCCGGGCATGGTGGCTCAGGCCTGTAATCCCAGCACTTGGGGAGGCTGAGGCGGGTGGATCACCTGAGACCAGGAGTTTGAGACCAGCCTGGTCAACATGGCAAAATCCCGTTTCTACTAAAAATACAAAAATTAGCTGGGTGTGGTGGCGGGCACCTGTAATCATAGCTACTCAGGAGGCTGAGGCAGAAAAATGGCTTGAACCTGGGGGGCGGAGGTTGCAGTGAGCCAAGATTACGCCATTGCACTCCAGCCTGGGCAACAAAGTGAGACTCTGTGTAAAAAAAAAAAAAAAAAATTCCTGTTAAATGACAATCAGTACAAATAACCTTGATTAATTTGCACGACATCTACAATATCTGTAAGAAATTGTTTCATAGAATAAAAACATTCCCAAGTAATTATTTTCTGAAATAATCTTCATTATGGAACATAATCATTATTTTGCCTGACATACCTGCCCACCTATTGAGGACTCTTTTAAAAGAAAAACTCATCTTTCTTGAATTACTGCTTCACAGTAAAAGGACAAATAATTCTAAAAAAGCATCACTTCTCAGCCAGCCACGAAGAGTCCCCCTTGGAGTTTCAGTAGGTAAGCACACATCTATTCCTCTTCCATAACACTGCTAATCAAAGGTTTCAAAAGAGATACTGGTAAAAGGATTATTTTGTTTCCGTCCCCAAATGCCATAGAAAGTTGCTTTGGGAAAAGTTGGTTTGGCTGATCATTCATTTTTTGTGGTAGTGGTTCTTTTTTATGAAAGGTGCTTTCAGGATTGAGGGGGGCATATATTTTCACCATCTGATTAGAACCATTAACATATTTACCAAATATGAAGCTATGTATCACAGGATAAGAATTCCTCTACTATATGTTTAACTCTGGCAAATATAGCTAATACCATTTTATCACAAATTTCTAACAACAGAATACACAATGTGAGAAAGGCAAACTAGTCTCAAAGACTAGACAAACATTTATCACAGTATTTAATTTCAGATTCAATTTATCTAACTGAATACATTTATAATTCCAAAACTGTTAAGATTTGTTAAATACTTACATAATATAAAACAGATTTTACATACTAGCTGAGGGTGAAATAAATTATCTTTCATTCAGATTTTTTTCCTTTTTAATTCAGTTGTGAAATTAGCAGACGACTAGATCTGACCCCTTCAATTTAGTTAGTTCCGTGGCCAGAAATAAAATCTTGCAATGGTTCTTTCAGTAGTGTTCTTAAGGGATGGCCGGTGGGGACACAGGGTTTTTCTGCTTCTTGTGGTAGAAGGGAGTGAAGATAAGGTAAGGGCAGAGATGAGTTAAATGTCAGCCTTCCCGGAAATGAAAAACCAAATTAAATAAAACCCAAGGTTTCTTTTGATGATTCCCTTAAATGAAGACACAAGTTCACAACCCCTGATTGAGAATCCTTAGAGACAAGTATTTTGAATTCAGAATTTTTTAAATCTTAGCAAAGTCCTACAAGGGGAGCTCCTGTCAATTATCTAGTGCCACCCACAGGTCTGGGCAGCCCCCATAATAAAACACAGTATTTCTGCAGCTGAAGTGATGGAATAACAACAACCAGCGGCTTCACATCAGTCCAGGCCAGGTCTTGCCATTGAAACAATTATACAAAAACTTGCTATTTTCAGAGCCCTTAGATTTAACAATCGTGAGCTGGGCACAGTGGCTCTCACCTATAATCCCAGCACTTTGGGAGGCTGAGGTGGGCGGATCACTTAAGTTTAGGAGTTTGAGACCAGCCTGGGCAACACAGCAAAACCCTGTCTCTACCAAAAAAAAAAAAAAAAAAAAAAAAAATTTGTAACTAGCTGAACATTGTGGCATATGTCTGTAGTCCCACCTACTTGGCAGGCTGAGGTGGGAAGATCACTCAAACCCAGGAGGCAGAGGCTACGGTGAGCGGTGATTGTGCCACTGCATTCTAGCCTGGGGAAGAGAGCGAAGCTCTGTCTGAAAAAATTAAATAAAAAAAAAAGATATAACAATTGAGGATAAGGGATTGAGGACTTGTATTTAACACAAGTTATAGACTTGTATTTAACACAAGTTATAAGAAAATAAAGTTGTAGGAAAATGTTAGACCCCTAGATTCCAGTTCTCCTCCATACAAGCTGCATGAATTTAGGCAGGTTATTTAACATCTTTAAAGCCTGAGTTTTCTTCCCTATAAAATGGAAATAATGATATCTTCCCATGAGTCTGCTGTAAACAACATGAGGTAAGATGTCTGAAACCACGTCAGGCACTGGGCAGTAGGATGACCAACTCAGTTTGCCTGGGATTTTCCAGGTATTAACACCGACAGTCCCACATCCTGGGAAGCTAGGAGAGTTGGTCACTCTACTTGACAGGCATTCAGTAAATGGAACATATTCTTTTCTTTGCGGTGGGTGGGGGAGAGTAGAGGCAGGGTCTCACTATGTTACCCAGGCTGGTCTTGAACTCCTAAGCTCAAGCAATCTTCCCGCCTCAGCTTCCCAAAGTGCTGGGATTACAAGCATGTGCCACCATGCCCAGCCAAATGGAACAGATTCTAATATGAGGAACAGAAATTAACTAAAAGTAAAAATGCATCAGAGTGAACAGGCAACCTATAAAATGGGAGAAAATTTTTGCAATCTACCTATCTGACAAAGGGCTAATATCCAGAATCTACAAAGAACTTAAACAAATTTACAAGAAAGAAACAAACAACCCCGTCAAAAAGTGGGCAAAGGATATGAACAGACACTTCTCAAAAGGGGACATTTATGCAGCCAAAAGACACATGAAAAAATGCTCATCATCACTGGTCATCAGAGAAATGCAAATCAAAACCACAATGAGATACCATCTCACACCAGTTAGAATGGTGATCATTAAAAAGTCAGGAAACAACAGGTGCTGGAGAGGATGTGGAGAAATAGTAACGCTTTTACACTGTTGGTGGGAGTGTAGACTAGTTCAACCATTGTGGAAGACAGTGTGGTGATTCCTCAAGGATCTAGAACTAGAAATACCATTTGATCCAGCCATCCCATTACTGGGTATATACCCAAAATCATGCTACTATAAAGACACATGCACACATATGTTTATTGCGGCACTATTCACAATAGCAAAAACTTGGAACCAACCGAAATGTCCATCAGTGATAGACTGGATTAAGAAAATGTGGCACATATACACCATGGAATACTATGCAGCCATAAAAAAGGATGAGTTCATGTCCTTTGCAGGGACATGAATGAAGCTGGAAACCATCATTCTCAGCAAACTATCACAAGGACAGAAAACCAAACACCGCATGTTCTCACTCATAGGTGGGAACTGAACAATGAGAACACTTGGATACAGGGCGGGGAACATCACATATGGGGGCCTGTCGTGGGGTGGGGGGCAGGGGGAGGAATAGCATTAGAAGAAATACCTAATGTAAATGATGAGTTAATGGGTGCAGCAAACCAACACGGCACATGTATACCTATGTAACAAACCTGCATGTTGTGCACAGGTACCCTTCAAAAAAAACCAAAAAAGTAAAAATGCAATGTGGAAAAATCATGCAAAACAGTTTCAGCAGTGAGACAGCCAGACTACTGTCTGTGAATTGGAATCTTCTCTTTTGTGGTAGGCAGAATTCTAAAACCACACCCCCTGGTATGCACACCCAGTGTAATCCCCTCCCCAGGAGTGGAGGTGAGCATGGCCGGCTCAGGGGTGCCATTTTTCAGACATGAAAAGTCAGAAAGATTTGAAGCTACAGCAGATACTCTCCTCCTGGCCTTGAAGAAGCAAACTGCATGCTGTGGAGAGGGCCACATGGCTGGGACTAGTGAGGGCCTCTAAGACCGGAGGTCCTCAGTCCTACAACCACAAGGAACTGATTTCTGCCAACAACCTGAATGAGCTTGGAAGAAGGCCCTGAGCCTCAGAGGAGCTAGCAGTCCTGGCTGGTACCACGTTTCCCAGCCTGGGAGACCTAAGCAGAGGCCCCAGACATACCATAACAGGGCTTCAGAACTACAGAACTGTGAGACTAAAAATGGGTAACGTTTTAAGCCACCAAGTCTGGGGTGATTTGTTACATAAGAATAAAAAAAAAAATTTGAAGCGTATCCACTTCAAAGGTACAGATATGTGTGTGTGTTGAGGGGGGGAAATGTGTGCATGCCTGTATGTATATGCCCAATATATTATTTGTAAAACATAATTTCTTGCATAAAACCACTGTTTTTAATGGAAAAAGTTCAAATTCAAAAGAAGCCTCTTCATAAATTAAACTCAGTGGAAAAATGAATCTCAAAATACTCTTGGCCTTACAACTAAAACTTTCATACATTAATGATGAGGTGTAAATAGTACAACCACTTTGGAAAACAAGCAATTTCTACTAAACCTAAACACATGCAACACTATGACTTAGAAATTCCACCTTCTGAATGCACAGGTCCACACGCACACAAACGTTCATAGCAGCATTAGTCACAACAGCCAAAAACTGGAAGCAATCCAAATACCCAGGAACAGGAGAAGAAAAACACCAGGTATCTTCCTTCAGTGGACAATTCACATCAGTTAAAAAGAACAAACTAATAATATACACAACAGGGATGAATCTCACAGACATCACGTTGAGTGAAAGAAGCCAGACACAGAGAGTATGTAATGAAGGATTCCATTTCCATTAAGCAGTGACAGAAGTCAGAATATGAGTTACTTCTCAGGAGGGGCGTGCTAGGATCTGAATGTTTCCATCCCCACAAAATTCAATGTTGAAACCTAATCCCCATGTGGTGGTATCAAGAGGTGGGACCTTTGGGAGGTGATCAGGTCTTGAGGGCTCTGCCCTCATAAATGGGATTCCTACCCTTGTAAGATAGGCCCAAGGAAGCTTCCCTTGCCCCTTCCACCATGTGAGGACACAGGAACGAGGTGCCATTTATGGAGGAGAGAGCCCTCACCAGACACTGAAACTGCTAACATCTTGATCTTGGACTTCCCAGTCTTCAGAACTGTAAGCAATAAATTTCTGTTGTTTATGGATTACCCAGTCTAAGATATTTTGTTTCAGCAGCAGGAATGGATTAAGACAGAATGTAAAATCTGGGAAGGAGCACCAAGTACCCGTAACTGGTGCTGGAAATGCTCTATATTTTGATATTGTTGGCGCTTACATGGGTGACTGCATATAAAAATAATCGAGAGTTAAGTTTAGTGCACCTTACTGAATGTTTATATTGCTATGATCTCAATGTTTGTGTGCCCCCAAAATTTGTATGGTGAATCTCCCTAGGTGATGGTAATAAGAGGTAGGGTCTTTATAGGAGGTGATTAAGTCATGAGAATGGAGCCCTCATGTATGGGATTAGTGGCCTCATAAAAGAGGCCTCAGAGACACTCTCATCCTCTTTCCACCAAGAAGAAATAAAAAACTCTACCATACTAGCCCCGGATCTTGAGACTTTCAGCCTCCCGAACTGTGAGAAATAAATTTCTACTGTTTATAAGCCACCCTGTCTATATTTTGTTATAGTAGCACAAATGGACTAAGACCTATACTTGAAAAAATTCCTGCTCCTTTACAGTAGCTATTTAATAACCATTTAATGACATTTTTAAGATGCCTGAAATAGTCATGGATTCCTCATTTTAAAAATACCCAAATAAGCTAGTGAAGAGTAAAACATGAATATTGCGAAGGTGCCATACAAGCAAAACTTTGCAAGAAATTACCAATCACGCTCTTCTTTAAAACACAATGCCTAACACTTAAGTATTGCTCAATAAATGTTGGTTGCATGAATTTCATAATCCCACTGCTTATATTTTAGAAGCCCAGAGGAATCTACATGTACAAATATATGGCATAATAGCCTCAATATAATATACCCTATACATGTGAAAAACTATGGTTTTTGTCCATTAACTACTTCTTTACCTCCAAGTACGAAAACATACAAGCCAAGTGTTAAGCCATCACCAAAGGAACGTAGATGTTAACCGTGCAAGGTAAAGGCAGCACCACTTTCATTTTTCACACTGTCAGTGGGACATCAGGGGTGGGGGTAACTCTTTGCCATGTAGACTTGGAGCACGAAAAGTTGGTTAGGATCATCTAATTTAACCCCCCACCCTGGTTAGAAAGCGCCCTGGCCTCCCTACTGCTGGGCGTCTTCCCACTGCCCGGACCCTCTAAGAGAGACAGTGCAGGGAGAGGACAGCAGGGGTGCCAGGGACAACTGACCCACCTGGGGAGGCGCAGCCTACTGTGAACTATGTCCATCTTAGCATCTTTTCTGCCAGAGAATAAGAGACAGAACTCACAGCATGGGAAGTCTCACTAGGCAGCAAGTCTATGAAACTGAAATGAAGGAAGTTTCAAGTCCACAAGGGGCTCAAAAACACCACTGGAAGTGACCAAAAAGTGAAACAAAACCACAGCTCACCTCGCTATTGTGGCCCCGGAGGTTGAAATTTATCCTCTGTGGAGTACTCCTGTCCCTGCGACAGTGACTAGAGGTGAAAGTCACCCCAACCACTCCTCGCCCGTTGCCCGTGGCCAGCCAGCCTTCCTCATAGTAGCGTCTCCTGCACACAGGCTTCTCCTTCTCACTCTTGGGGACACGCCCCTTCCAGGACAGGCACAGGATGTTGGAATCGCTGCAAAGCACAGGCCCATGTTCCACTGCTGCATACATACTTTCTTCAATGAACTGTTTTACTTAAAAAGTAATGTTAATGCTGTGAAATTTAAACCAATTTCTTTCATTGGTATATGTGTTTTTGTGGTTGGCTTGCGTTGCTTTTTTCCCCCTTTAATTAAGACTGACCTGAATCTAATTAGAAGGTCAGTATTTTATAAAGATCCACCGAATGCATAGTGAAAAAATTCCTCTATAAAAGATGATGGCAGTCTTCTAAGAAAAGGTAATGCTTAAAAAAACATGGGGTCCATTTGTATTTTCAAGTTCTCAGAGGAAGAACGTGCTGATCCTTTGGAGAAAGAGCATCGTTAATTAAGTGGTGATCAAGAAACGGTTTTCTTCTTTTTACTCCACTTGGTTATTCTCATTCAGCCTGAGATTCCAGTTTAGTGTAATATGATTCCAGAGACAAAGGGTTGCAAATACATAGATTTCAAGTAACTTAAGGCTTTAAGAATCCCTCTAGCTCGAATTTTTCTCTTCAAAAGTTCGGATGCAGAGACAGAATACACAGGATCATCTTCCTTCTGAAGCCACCCTCTAGCATGTTTCCTGAACTAGACAAATTTCTGCTGCTAAAGCTGAAAAAGATTGCATAAAGGGAAAAAAAGGCACACAAACCGTGCAAAACAGACCAGAGTTTGTGCAGACAAGAGTCCAAATTTTAGGAAGAAAAACAGACTCTCTCCTTGTTGTTTCAGAACCAGAAACTTTCCACCTCAAAGCTTGGCCCTGTGTCCCCGGGGAACGCAGGGCTCCATCGGACTGCTCCTCCACCAGCCGGCGCACCCCTCAGTGCCATAGAGGCTAGAAAGAAGGCCCCTTCACTCAAGAGGCAGAATGTTCCAGCGCTCTTACAGTGGTCCCAGTGTTTGCCCTGGGTGAGTCTTAAATCCTCTTGCTGACAAAACAGAGCCACGTGGCAAGATTTTGTTTCTTTTGCTCGTCTCCCTTCTCGCTCCCCCAGTTAGCACTCCCCTTTTCTGCTCCTAAAGATCTTTTTCCATCTTGATGAAAAAAGCTAATCTTAGAATTAAGTCCATCAGGTAATCTTCTCATACGCAAGTCTTCTTGGACTTGACAGGGAAGTTAATCCCTTAAAACAAAAGCAGAAGCCAGAGTCAGATTCCCCCAGCTGTCTCCCTAGAGAGTGATAGTGTTTTGCTGATGGGTGCTTTCCTGTTCACATTCAGAGACTGTCTCCAAACACCACACCACTAGTCCAACAAAAAGAAAGCTTTGCTTGGATTTTCCTTGATATTTATTTAATAATTATTGGTTTCAATTGCTATTTTACAATATTATCCTATAGATGCAGGAAAAAAGGGGGGGAATAATAAATTAAAATTTCTCAAATACAGTTAATTAAGATAGGCAAAGGAATCAGTTCATTATTCAAACTTGTCCCATCATACTTGAACTTGCTTTCCTCTAGCCATAACCACAGTAGGAGTTACTTTTCAGTCTAGAATTTTAATCCGTCCAAATCACCAAACCCACTGAAAAATAAAGTGCAACAAACACTGTGTGAGCCGCTGCAATGTTTGAAATCACACTTCTTTCTCAGTCACCTTCTCACTTAGTTCCTTCTTTAAACTGGAGAATATTTTTGTGGTTTAATCTGCGCAAATTTTTTTTTCTTCTTTTTGCAGACTTTCTTTACCCGTGCAGACCATATGGAAAACTGGCCATTAGTGATGTATTTTTCTCCCCGGGCTCCTGAGCCCACTGGTGTCAAGTTGCTCCATCTGATTCTTAAATTAATTTTCATCAGTTGTAAAACTCTCAAGTGTGCACAAGAATGAGCCTGTCTTCCCGTGTGAATGTGTAAGTACAGAAAGAAGGTTTTAAATGCACATAGACACACACTCTTCAACTGCCATACGAAGCGTCTGCTTCCCCAGTCATTTCAGGAACCATCAGATTATTCACGGCTGGGAGGCCCTGGAGTCTTACAAATCTGTTTAAAAAAAAAAAAAGATATAAAATTTAAAAACTTTAAAACACTGGAAAATAAAGGTTTTAAGAATAATTGCTGAAACTGAAATGAGAGACCCATCTTTACACTTACATCAAATGGAGCTACTGACTGCACTGAATGGTAAAATCCAATAGTGAAAGGATACACCTCACCAGACTCAAGACAACACACAACAAATGAGAGTTCTGCCTGCCACTGATCGTTGTATTCAATTTGTCAGCAGCTGGGCACATCTGAATGAAATCATAACTGCCATTCTTCCACACTGAACTGTACTTTCTAAGAGACTGAACTCCGAATGTGAGACTCTACCCCTCCAGAGACCATGGTCGCTGTTTAAGCAGGCATCCTCAAAAAGGAGACTGAAATGACTCAGGCAAGTTATCTGGATTGATTTTTTCACGATTAATAAAAGATATTCCCTCAAGACACAAAGCAGTAAGGGCCTTTAAAACTCATTCGTCCCTGATGGCTGGCAGGTCTCGGAGCAAAGCGCAGCTGTTTTCTAAGCTTTTATGTGGTCTACCAGCAATAAAGTTCTAGAGAATCTGTCTCTAGCAAATCCATTCCATCTTCTTCCTACTGCCTGAAGTCCAGGCTGCATCACATCCTCTACAAACACGAGAACACTCTGTCCCTAACTTACTCATCCTCCCTGCCCTCCCGCCCCGCCAGTCCTTCCAGAAAGCAGAGTGGACTTTCTCAAATTCAGCAGACTCTCTCAGTCTCCTGGGGCAGCTGAAGCGGCCCAGCCCCATCCCACAGGAACTGGACACTGAAAGGGAAGGGAAGGGCCCAGGTGTTCGCATTTCTAATAAGCTCCCAAGAGATGCTAATGCTGCTGGGCAGGGAACCAGGCTTTGAGAACTACTGGCCTGTAGCATCAAGTCCCAGCAAAAGACTCTACTTTCATCATAATACTAGGACATAATTTGCCTTCTTCCGTGTTCACATTTGTACCCATGGTGCAAAATCAACAGTGGGTCAAACTGCAAGCTCTTTAACACTAATCAAGGTAGAGGTACCAACTGCACCAGTAGTCATAGATTAAAAAAAAGAAAGAAAAAAAAAGCCAGCCTCACTTAAGAACATCTTTGATACGGCAGTAAAAATTATTAATTTTATTAAATATCAGCCCTTGAGTACATGGTTTTTAATACCCTTGTGTCCCAAAATAGTAGGTACACATAAAGTACTTCTGTGGACTACTGAAGCACCATGGTAGTCCCAGGAAAAAGCATGTATTATACAGTTTAAGTTGCAAAATGAACTGCTTGCTTTTTTCATGGAATACCATGTGACATGGTTTGAATGTTTGGCCCCTCCAAATCTCATGCTGAAACGTAACCCCCAGTGTTAGAGGTGGGGCCTGGTGGGAGGTGTTTGGATCATGGGGGCAGTCCCTCATGAATGTCTTGGTGCTGTCTTCTGACAGTGAGTGAACTCTCACGATACCTGGTTGTTTAAAAGAATGTAGCACCAGGAGTTCGAGACCAGCCTGGCCAACATGGTGAAACCCTGTCTCTACTAAAAATACAAAAATTACCTGAGCATGGTGGTGGGCACCTGTAATCCCAACTACTCAGGAGGCTGAGGCAGAAGAATTGCTTGAAACCGAAAGGCAGAGGTTGCGGTGAGCCAAGATCGCACCACTGCACTCCAGCCTGGGCGAAAGAGAAAAACTCCGTCTCAAAAAAAAAAAAAAAAAAAAAGTGTAGCACCTCCCACCTCTCTTGCTGCTCCCGCTCTAGCTATGTGACATGCTAGTTCCTTGTCACCTTCTGCCATGTTTGTAAGCTTCCTGAGGCCTCACCAGAAACAGATGCCAGCACCATGCTTCCTGTAAAGCCTGCAGAGCCATGAGCCAATTAAAACAATTTTCTTTATAAATTACCCAGTCTCAGGTATTCCTTATAGTAATGCAAATGGGCTAATACCCCAAGTTTACTAAAAAGTATGAATGACAAATTATGGTTGTTCCAGCTGGGATATTTGGCCGACATTTTCTTGAACATGAACAAAGTAAGCCTGCCACTTTAAGGAAAACAACTAACAGAATTTGTTGTTGAAAATAAAAACTGAGCTCCCTCTCCCTCTCCCCCTCCCCCTCCCCCTCTCCCTCTCCCCACGGTCTCCCTCTCCCTCTCTTCCCACGGTCTCCCTCTGATGCCAAGCCGAAGCTGGACTGTACTTCTGCCATCTCGGCTCACTGCAACCTCCCTGCCTGATTCTCCTGCCTCGGCCTGCCGAGTGCCTGCGATTGCAGGCGCGCCGCCACGCCTGACTGGTTTTCGTATTTTTTTGGTGGAGACGGGGTTTCGCTGTGTTGGCCAGGCTGGTCTCCAGCTCCTAACCGCGAGTGATCCGCCAGCCTCAGCCTCCCGAGGTGCCGGGATTGCAGACGGAGTCTGGTTCACTCGGTGCTCAATGGTGCCCAGGCTGGAGTGCAGTGGCATGATCTCGGCTTGCTACAACCTCCATCTCCCAGCCGCCTGCCTTGGCCTCCCAAAGCGCCGAGAGTGCAGCCTCTGCCCGGCCGCCACCCCGTCTGGGAAGTGAGGAGCGTCTCTGCCTGGCCGCCCATCGTCTGGGACGTGAGGAGCCCCTCTGCCTGGCTGCCCAGTCTGGAAAGTGAGGAGCGTCTCTGCCCGGCCGCCATCCCATCTAGGAAGTGAGGAGCGTCTCTGCCCGGCTGCCCATGGTCTGAGATGTGGGGAGCGCCTCTGCCCCGCCGCCCCGTCTGGGATGTGAGGAGTGCCTCTGCCCGGCCGCGACCCCGTCTGGGAGGTGAGGAGCGTCTCTGCCCGGCCGTCCCGTCTGAGAAGTGAGGAGACCCTCCGCCTGGCAACCACCCCATCTGAGAAGTGAGGAGCCCCTCTGCCCGGCAGCCGCCCCATCTGAGAAATGAGGAGCCCCTCCACCCAGCAACCACACCGTCTGGGAAGTGAGGAGCGTCTCCGCCCGGCAGCCACCCCGTCCGGGAGGGAGGTGGGGGTCAGCCCCCGCCAGGCCAGCCGCCCTGTCCGGGAGGGAGGTGGGGGGGTCAGCCCCCTGCCCGGCCAGCCGCCCCGTCCGGGAGGGAGGTGGGTGGGTCAGCCCCCCGCCCGGCCAGCCGCCCCGTCCGGGAGGGAGGTGGGGGGGTCAGCCCCCCACCCGGCCAGCCGCCCCGTCCGGGAGGTAAGGGGCGCCTCTGCCCGGCCGCCCCTACTGGGAAGTGAGGAGCCCCTCTGCCCGGCCAGCTGCCCCGTCCGGGAGGGAGGTGGGGGGGTCAGCCCCCCGCCCGGCCAGCCGCCCCGTCCAGGAGGTGAGGGGCGCCTCTGCCCGGCCGCCCCTACTGGGAAGTGAGGAGCCCCTCTGCCCGGCCAGCCGCCCCGTCCGAGAGGGAGGTGGGGGGGTCAGCCCCCCGCCCGACCAGCCGCCCCGTCCGGGAGGTGAGGGGCACCTCTGCCCGGCCACCCCTACTGGGAAGTGAAGAGCCCCTCTGCCCGGCCGCCACCCCGTCTGGGAGGTGTACCCAACAGCTCATTGAGAACGGGCCATGATGACAATGGCGGTTTTGTGGAATAGAAAGGGGGGAAAGGTGGGGAAAAGATTGAGAAATCGGATGGTTGCCGTGTCTGTGTAGAAAGAAGTAGACATGGGAAACTTTTCATTTTGTTCTGTACTAAGAAAAATTCTTTGGCCTTGGGATCCTGTTGATCTGTGACCTTACCCCCAACCCTGTGCTCTCTGAAACATGTGCTGTGTCCACTCAGGGTTAAATGGATTAAGGGCGGTGCAAGATGTGCTTTGTTAAACAGATGCTTGAAGGCAGCATGCTCGTTAAGAGTCATCACCACTCCCTAATCTCAAGTACCCAGGGACACAAACACTGCGGAAGGCCGCAGGTTCCTCTGCCTAGGAAAACCAGAGACCTTTGTTCACTTGTTTATCTGCTGACCTTCCCTCCACTATTGTCCCATGACCCTGCCAAATCCCCCTCTGTGAGAAACACCCAAGAATGATCAATAAAAATAAAAAAAGAAAAAAAAAAGAAAAGAAAAACTGAGCTTTCAAGTTAAATTTAGATGTTTGCGAAAATCAGCACTCATCACTATGAGCTTGCGAGCTCCCCACGTAACTGGGGGTGATGTTAATAAATGTGATTTTTTTTATTTTTTATCCCATATTTCATTATATATCAATATTTGGAAGACTCACATACTTGGTAAACCAATATTTTCCAAATGACCAACAAAGATGATAGAAATTATACTTGAGTAAAAGATCCATTCAAGGTACAAGACTTTGGGAGGCCAAGGCGGGGGTCACCAGAGGTTAGGAGTTCGAGACCGGGCTGGCCAACATGGTGAAACCCCATCTCTACTAAAAAATACAAAAATTAGCTGGGTGTGGTGGCAGGTGCCCGTAGTCCCAGCTACTCAGGAGGCTGAGGCAGGACAATCAATTGAACCCAGGAGGCGGAGGTTGCAGTGAGCCGACATCACACCACCGCACTCTAGTCTGGGTGACAGTGAGACTCCGTCTCAAAAACAAAACAAAACAAAAAAAGTGCAAAGAAGACAAATGAATTTTAATGTAACCAAGGATGAAAAATTCACTGATATATTTCATTCAAATTCTACATTGCAACTAACCTTTGAGAAACTACCACTTGTTGAATTTTAGTGTGGTTATCAAAGAAAAACATCCATGATTATCTGAAGACTATTAAAATCCTCCTTTCTTTTCCAATTATATATGTGTGTGAGGCTGAATTTTCTTCATATACTTCAACAAAAACGACATATTGCAAGATTAAATGTAGAAGCAAATATGAGAACCTAGCCATCTTTAAGTAAGCCAGACATTAGATATTGCTGCCAAAATATAAAACAATACACTCTTATTATTAAATGTTTTAGTTTTAGGACAAGCAGTTGTTTTCATAAAAATATATAACTTATTTAATGGGTTTATGTTTTTAATAAATTAGGGAATATTTTTTATCAGTTTTATTTTATTTTTTTGAGACACAGCCTCACTCTGTCGCCCAGGCTGGAGTACAGTGGTGTGATCACAGCTCACTGCAGCCTCAAATTCGTGGGCTCAAAAAAATCCTCCCACCTCAGCCTCCTGAGTAGCTAGGACCACAGGTGCACACCACCACATCCAGTTAACTTTTGTATTGTGTGTAGAGACAGGGTTTCGCCACGTTAGCCAGGCTGGTCTCGAACTCCGAGGCTCAAGTGATCCACCCCTGCTCAGCCTCCTGAAGTAGCTGGGATTACAGGTGTCAGCCACTGCACCCAGCCAGTTTTAATTTCTAATATGGTAAATATCAACAGATAACCACAAAAACAAAAGTTCCTTTGGACCTTCAATAATTTTTATGAATATAAAGGAGCCCTGAAACAATAAAGTTCAAAAATCACAGACATATACTAACTCTCTAAAATGTAAATCTATCTATCTTTCCTTCTTTCTTTATTTTGAAAAGGAGTCTCACTCTCACCCAGACTGCAGTGCAGTGGCGCAATCTTGGCTCACTGCAACCTCCCTCGAACTAGGCTCAAGCAATCCTTCCACCTCAGACTCTTGAGGAGCTGGGACTACAGGCGCATGCCGCCATGCCCGGCTAACTTTTTGTACTTTTTGAAGAGACAGGGTTTCCCAATGTTGCCCAGGTTAGTCTCGAAAACTCCTGGGCCCAAGTGATCTGCCTGCCTCAGCCTCCCAAAGTACTGGGATTAAAGGCATGAGCTACAGCACCCAGCCAAATGTAAATCTTAAATAACTATTTTATTAAGGTATATAGGATAAATTTCCACAGTAAAAGCACAGTGTTCCATTTCACATATACTGTTAAGGTTTTTAACCAAACTTTAAAAATATCTTTAAAATCATAAAACGCCATATATGCTAGACAAATATGGCAGTTTTTTTTAATTCCACTTTATTATGATTCAAAATGCATAATGGATACAAAAATCTAACAACAAAAAAGAACAATCAAAGCATCCGAATTCCTGAAAGGCTGGTGCCAATTTTATCAATACCATTAACAAAAATGAGTGGTGTTGGGCATTTCACTTCCTTTCTTTCTACCTTTTCTCATAAAGATGAGAAAACGAGAATGGTAACTAAACTGATTAAGTTTCCAAGGAATGATAAGAATATTGTCAAATCAACACTAGTAAGGGGGGTTGGTATAAAATGATTAAAAAGCAACTATCAGATTGAAAGCAGAAACTTGAACAGATATTTGTATGCCAATGTTCATGGCGGCATGATTCACAGTAGCCAAAAGGTGAAACCAATATAAATGACTTTTTTTTTTTTTTTTGAGACAGGGTTTCCCTCTGTCTTTCGGGCTGGAGTGCAGAGACGTGATCACAACTCACTGCAGCCTTGAACTCCTAGGCTCAAGCTATACTCCCACCTCAGCCTCCCAAATAGCTGAGACTACAGGTGCGTACCACCAGGCTAGCTAATTTTTTTTTTTTAATTTTTGGTACAGACAGGGTCTTATTATATTGCCCAGGCTGGTCTCAAACTCCTGGGCTCAGGCAATCTTCCCACCTCAGCCTCCCAAAGGGCTGGAATTACAGGTGTGAGCCACCACACCCAGCAACAACCCAAATGTCCACTGATGGATGAACGGGTAAACAAAATGTGGTATATGTACACACACACACACACACACACACACACACACACACACACGCACACAGAATGAAATATCATTCAGCCTTAAAAGGGAGAGTAATTCTGGTACATGCTACCAAACGGATGAACTCTGAGGACATTATGCTAGGTGAAATAAGCCAGTCACAAAAAGACCAATACCTTATGACTCCAGTGATATAAGGGACCAAGAGTAGATAGCAGTAGGATTCATAGAAACAGTAAGTAGAAGGGTGAGTGCCAGGGGCTGAGGGGAGGGGAAATAAAGAGTTAGTGTTTAATGGGTATAGAGTTTTAGTTTTGTAAGATGAAAAGAGTTCTGAAGGCAAATGGTTGCAAAATAATGTGAATGTACTTTAATATCACTGAACTGTACACTTTAAAAATGGTAAAAATGGGCTGGGCACAGTGGCTCACACCCATAATCCCAACACATTGGGAGGCTGAGGCAGGAGGATGGCTTGAACCTAGGAGTTTCAGACCAGCATGGACAATATAGCAAGACCCCGTCGTTACAAAAAATAAAAAAATCAGCCAGACATGGAGATGCACACCTGTAGTCCCAGCTACTTGGAAGGCTGAGGTGGGAGGATTGCTTGAGCCCGGGAACTCAAGGCTACAGCGGGCCATGATCACACCACTGTACTTCAGCCTGGGTGACAGAGTGAGACCCCATCTCAAAAAAAAAAATAAGGTAAAATTGGTAAATTTAATGGTATATATATTTCCCCTCAATTTAAAAAATGAGATAAGTTGGTTAAAAAGCAACTATTCATATAAAGTCTTTCAATAACAGATTGAAAGTAAATATTACTCTGCTTGTCATTATGATGTTTTTTACCCTGAGCACTGTTAACACAGGCCCAAGGGCAATCCTGGGTGTTTTCATTAAGAATAAATAATGCTGACCTCCACAGATATTATTAGAAACAAACCTGTTTCTAATAATTACAGCTTATTTTCAGAACATTCCTGTATATCAGTACAAAACCCATACCTGCTTTTAGGATATTAGAATCTCAAACCAAAGAATACATGTGTCTAATTGAATTAATGACCTGCTAGGGTTCTAGATGCCAGTAATGAAACACATAAGATGCTTCCCACTCTAGCTTCCATACGATCCAGTTCTAATGGCAAAGAAGGAGCCCCAGAACTTGCTTGGAAAGTTCAACCTAGGGACAGGATGGTGTATCAGGTATGTTAGATACCCATAGATTAATCAACCAATAAATCTTCATTAAACAGCTATTAATATTATTAATATTATACACAAGGCCCCTGTGCTGTGTTCTCTCCCTCTCTTGTCCCCAATTAGATATTCTACTTTCTAACTTATTTTCACTACAATTTGTTTTGTGTTATCTGATTCCTATTTTCCACCAACACAGATAAAATTTACCATCGGGAGTGGAGAGGTAAAAAAGCATTTTTGGTTTGTTTTGTTTTCTAAACCGTTTGAATTAACGTTAGAGACTGGAGATAAATTAGGGAAGATATTTTCCACTTACACAATTTTAACAGAAACATATTCATTACAAGTTGTAAGAATGCAACCACTCTGGAAAATAGTTTGGTATTACTAGTATTACTGAAGACGTGAATACCCTGCAAATAGCATTCCCACTCCTGAGTGTGTGCACCACAACACATTGTCTGTGAGTGCTCAAGGGGAGGTAGATATAAGGTATTCACATACAAAGTATTCACAGCAGCAGGGTTTACATCAGCTCCAAACTGAAAACAACAGAGACCCTTACCAGTAGTTCTGCTTTTGCCCTTTGCCTTGTGATCTTTGTTGGACCCTTATCAGTAGTTCTGCTTTTGCCCTTTGTCGTGTTCCCTGAGAAGCATGTGATCTTTATTAGACCCTTATTAGTAGTTACGCTTTTTACCCTTTGAAGCATGTGATCTTTGTACCTACTCCCTGTTCTTACAACCCCTCCCCTTTTGAAATCCTTAATAAAAACTTGCTGGTTTGAGGCTCAGGCGGGCATCACGGTCCTACCGACATGTGATGTCATGCCCAGAGGCCCAGCTGTAAAATTCCTCTCTTTATACTGCTGCCTTTATTTCTCAGCCGGCCAACACTTACGGAAAATAGAACCTACATTGAAATTCCTGTTTCCACTCTGGCTGGTGAGTCAATTGCTCAATTACTTTTACTACCTAATATTGTTTTAAACAAAGGAGATAAGACACGGGGTCCTAGGATGGGCTCTGACAGTGAAAAAGCCACTTATTGGATTAATGTAATTTCTGAACAACAGCCCACCTGCACCATACACATTCAAGGAAAAAAGTTTAAGGGCCTACTAGATACTGGGTCTGATGTTTCTATTATTTCCTCTAATTTATGGCCTTCCTCCTGGCGTAAACATCCCACTAACATATAACTAGCAGGGATTGGAAAAGCTGATGAAGTTCACCAGAGCACATTTATCTTGCCTTGCACTGGCCCTGAGGGTCAAAAGGGTAAAATTCAGCCTTATATCATGCCAATCTCCACTAATATTTGGGGTAGAGATTTGCTGACACAGTGGGGGGCTGAAATTAATATTCCACATAACTCTTACAGTGCTCCCAGTCAAAATATAATGGAAAACATGGGGTTTGTTCCCGGACTCGGTCTCGGTCCAAGACATGAAGGAATTACTAAACCTCTTCAAGTTACTGTAGAAGAGGGCTGGTTTAGGTCATCCTTTTCAATGACAGCCACTGCTATGCCTCCCTACAATGAAAATCTGAAACACCTGTTTGGATTGAGCAGCGGCCGCTCTCTCAAGAAAAACTGGAGGCTTTAACTCAATTGGTTGCTAAACAGTTACAACTTGGAAATGTGGAACCTTCTCTCTCCCCCTGGAAGTCTCCTGTGTTTCTAGTAAAAAAGAAATCAGGCAAGTGGAGGATGGTAACTGATTTAAGGGCCATTAATGCTGTAATTAAACCTATGGGAGCTGTCCAACCCAGGATGCCTGCCCCTGCTTTAATACCTAAGAATTGGCCTCTCATAGTTACTGATCTTAAAGACTATTTCTTTCATATTGCTTTACATAAATCGAATTGTGAAAAATTTGCTTTTACTGTACCATCTATCAATAATCAGGAGCCTGCAGCTCGTTATCAATGGAAAGTACTTCCTCAGGGAGTGCTGAATAGCCCTACCATCTGCCAGCTTTATGTTGGACAGGTGCTTTCACTACTTTGAGCTCAATTTCCCCAGGCCTATATTCTTCATTATATTGATGATATATTAATCGCTGCCCCCACTGATAAAGAATTGACTGTTAACAATTTTTGAGCCATTGTGTTAAAGAGGCTGGATTACACATCGCTCAGGATAAAATTCAACAGACCACTCCTGTTCAATATTTAGGAATGGTGTTCAATAAAGAATATATTCAACCTCAAAAGGTTCAGATTAGGAGAGATTCTTTGAAAACCTTAAATGATTCCAAAAACTTTTAGATAACATTAATTAAGACCTACTTTAGGCATTTCAACATACGCGCCATCTAACTTGTTTTCTATGCTGTGTGGAGATTCCAATCTCTGCAGTCCCAGGACTTTCACCCCTGAGGCTTCACTAGAACTGGAATTCATGGAGTAAAGAATCCAAACTGCCCAGTTGTCTAGGGTACAGCCGTCTCAGCCTTTTCAGCTTCTGGTTTTCGCTTCATTGCACTCCCCTACTGGGCTAATAGTTCAACATAATGACTTAGTGGAGTGGTGTTTTCTTCCTCATTCTGTGTCAAAAACTTTGTCTGTTTATCTGGACCAAATGGCCACCCTAATTGGACAAGCTCGGTGTAGAATACTTAAATTTTCCAGATTTGATCCGAATTTAATTGTGGTTCCTTTAAATCAACTCGAAGTTCAGGCCACTTTTCAACATTCCATACTGTGGCAAATTCACTTGGCTGATTTTATCAGTGTTGTTGACAATCATTATCCAAAAAAAAAAAAACTGTTTGATTTTATAAAAATGACTTCTTGGGTGGTCACTTGATTGACCAAAGATCAGCCCATTCCTGAGGCCATTACAGTGTTCACTGATGGCTCCAGTAACAGAAATGCTGGTTATGTGGGTCCTACAGACAAGCTTATTTCTAACCCTTATACCTCTGCTCAAAAGGTAGAGTTAATTGCTGTAATTATTGCCTTACAGGATTTCCCCAAACCTTTAAATATTGTCTCTGATTCTGCTTATGTTGTACATGCCACTAAAAATATAGAAACCGCTACTATCAAACATATTGGTAATTCTGAATTGGCTTCTTTATTTTCAAGGTTACAACAGGCGGTTCGCCAACGTAGACACCCTTTCTATATTACACATATTAGATCTCATACCACTCTACTGGGACCCATGTCTGCTGGTAACGATAAGGTCGACTGGTCTCTATTGCAATCCGAGAAGCTCAGGAGTTCCATAATCTCACTCATGTCAATGCTGCTGGATTAAAAGATAAATTTGCTCTCACCTGGAAGGAGGCTAAGCTTATTGTCCACCACTGCCCTCAGTGCCAAGTTTTTGTACTTCCAAATCAGGAACCTGGCATTAATCCCAGAGACCTAACTCCTAATGATTTATGGCAAATGGATGTGACTCATGTTAGCTCCTTTGGCAGAATTTCACATGTACATGTTTCTGTAGACACCTTTTCAGGTTTTATTTGGGCTACTTGCCAAACGGGAAGGCACAGCCAATATTAAAAGACATCTGTATTCTTGCTTTGCAGTTATGGGGCTTCCATATCAAATAAAGACAGACAATGCCCCTGGATATGTTAGTAAGGCTTTTGATTTATTTATGCAACAATGGGGAATTTCCCGTATTACCAGAGTAACTTACAATCCTCAGGGACAAGCTGTGGCGGAACAGGCCAATTGCACTTTAAAAACTCAATTGTCCAAACAGTCTGAGCAACAAAAGCATAATTTAACCACTCCCCACTCCCAGTTACATTTAGCATTGTTTACTTTAAACTTTCTAAATGTTCCTAAAGACATACTCTGACTGCAGCTGAACAGGCAAAAAATTCTCCCTAAATGAAGGCAAGCCAGTGTTAGGGAAAAACTCCCAGACCAATACCTGGGAAGCTGGAACAATTACAACGTGGGGAAGAGGGTATGCTTGTGTTTCACCAGGAGATCATCAATCCCCTGTCTGGGTGCCCACTAGGAGACTTAAACTTCGTGTGAATACTGACAATAAAAACCATAGGGAAGAGACGTCTGCGTCAGAGACCACCTTCATACCTGGTGAGATCTGTGCCGACTCCTCAGAAACTGGCACGCCAAATTAAAATGGGTGTGGTTCAATCCTCCCTAATGGCAACAGAGACCCCTCTAACTAATCCCACTTCTCCTAATTCCCTTTTTCTCCTTAAGAACCTAAAAATCTCACCATTTCTATTAGCCTGAAAATAACATCCCCCTGTTCTTCTCTTCCTCCTTTAGCACTGGATCTCGCTTATAATAGGTTTTATTTAATAATTCTCCCCCTTACACTTTGTCTTACCAGTTTCCCCTCAAACTGATTTACCTGCTACACAAAATTATTCTTATTAGGCTTATGTGCTTTTTCCCCCACTTATTCAATCTCTCACCTGGATGGATGCTCCTGTGGAAATCTATGCTAACGATATCGTGTGTGGCTGCCTGGAGCTACAGATGAACATTGCCCTGCTCAACCAGGAAAAGAAAGCACTGCATTTAATGTTACTATGGGTTATAAATGCCCTCCTCTGGGCTTTGGACATGCACCTGGTTGTATCCATCTAGAAACTCAAGTCTGGGCTGCTTACCTTCTGGAGAGATCAGCCACAAGGGAATGGGGACATTTGGTCTCCGGCCTCTCCCTTTCTCCTTTAAGACAAATGAAAGGGGGAGTAATAGGAGATACCCCATACCTTCAATATAAACCTGTAGGAAAACCATGTCCTAAAAATTTTGAGGGCCCATCTAAAACTTTAATTTGGGAAGATTGTGTTAATTCACATGCAGTAGTATTAAAAAAAATGACTCATATGGTTTAGTAATAGACTGGGCACCAAAGGGCTATTTAAAAAACGATTGCTCCTCTGGCAGAAGGGAATGCCTGGAGGCTACTTATTTTATATTTCTTATTGGGATGACGAGGATCATCATCCTACTTGGCATAGGAGGTTCAGCTCGTCCTTTTCCTTAAAACAGGAAGATAAGGGCATTACCCCCCACCCCGACCGAGGCCTAGTATGGATACTCCCCATTCCGAGCCCAGAACACCCAGAACTTTGGAAATTGGCTATTGCCATGTCCAGACTGCAAGTATGGGAAGGGGAAACGTTTCTGTCTGTTGTCCCCACTACCGCCCCTTGCATCCGTGATTCTGAACTCCATGATAAATCCCCTTTGAACCTTTTCCCTCTTTTTGATGCTGATCCTCCTTTATGGGACTCCAATTGGCATTATGATAATTCTTCTTGACCCAGGTATGCTCCTCTACCTGTTCGGCATCCCCGGGCACCTAGGATTGCTTCTTTGTGGCGCAGAACATTGGGCATTGCCACTGCCGCTCCTCTCCCTCAGTATCAACGTAGACTCAAACATTCTGCTTTGTTTACCGCCAACCTGACTACTCCTATACAGAGTTGTGTTAAGCCTCCTTACATGCTGTTAGTGGAAAATATCAAAATTTGGACGAACAATCAAACTGTCCAATGCATTAATTGTCATTTATACACTTGTGTTAACTCCCGTTTTGACTCCAGGAAAAGTATAATGTTGGTTCGAGATCAAGAAGGAATCTGGATACCATGTGCCAGACCAGTCAAAGAATCCTGTGTCAAAACTGGGAGAACGAACAAGCCTTCATCGCCATGGCACATTTATATAAAAAGAAAGGGAGAGATGTTGCGGGAAGTCAGGGACCCCAAACGGAGGGACCGGCTGGAGCTGCGGCAGAGGAACATAAATTGTGAAGATTTCATTTTAATATGGACATTTATCAGTTCCCAAATAATACTTTTATAATTTTTTATGCCTGTCTTTAATCTCTTAATCCTGTTATCTTTGTAAGCTGAGGATGTACGTCACCTCAGGACCACTGTGATAATTGTGTTAACTGTACAAATTGATTGTAAAACATGTGTGTTTGAACAATATGAAATCAGTGCACCTTGAAAAAGAACAGAATAACAGCGATTTTTAGGGAACAAGGGAAGACAACCATAAGGTCTGACTGCCTGCGGGGTCAGGCAGAATACAGCCATATTTTTCTTCTTGCAGAGAGCCTATAAATGGATGTGCAAATAGGAGAGGTATCGCTAAATTATTTTCCTAGCAAGGAATATTACATATTAAGACCCTAGGAAAAGAATTGCATTCCTAGGGGGAGGTCTATAAACGGCCGCTCTGGGAATGTCTGTCTTATGCGGTTGAGATAAGGACTGAGATACGCCCTGGTCTCCTACAGTACCCTCAGGCTTACTAGAGTGGGAAAAAACTCCGCCCTGGTAAATTTGTGGTCAGACCAGTTCTCTGCTCTCAAACCCTGTTTTCTGTTGTTTAAGATGTTTATCAAGATAATACGTGCACCGCTAAACATAGAACCTTATCAGTAGTTCTGCTTTTGCCCTTTGCCTTGTGATCTTTGTTGGACCCTTATCTGTTGTGGGAAGTCAGGCACCCCGAACAGAGGGACCAGCTGGAGCCGTGGCAGAGGAACATAAATTATGAAGATTTCGTGGACATATATCAGTTCCTAAAATTAATACTTTTATAATTTCTTAAGCCTGTCTTTACTGCAATCTCTGAACATAAACTGTGAAGATTTCATGGACATTTATCACTTCCCTAATAATACTCTCATAATTTCTTATGCCTGTCTTACTTTAATCTTTTAATCCCGTTATCTTCGTAAGCTGAGGATGTACATCACCTCGGGACCCTGTGATGATTGCGTTAACTGTACAAACTGATTGTAAAACATGTGTGTTTGAACAATATGAAATCAGTGCACCTTAAAAAAGAACAGAATAACAGCGATTTTAGGGAACAATGCAAGACAACCATAAGGTCTGACTGCCTGCGGGGTCAGGCAGAATACAGCCATATTTTTCTTCTTGCAGAGAGCCTATAAATGGACGTGCCAAGTAGGAGAGATACCACTAAATTCTTTTCCTAGCAAGTAATATTAAATATTAAGACCCTAGGAAAAGAAATGCATTCCTAGGGGGAGGTCTATAAACGGCCGCTCTGGGAGTGTCTGTCCTATGCGGTTGAGAAAAGGACTGAGATACACTCTGGTCTCCTGCAGTACCCTCAGGCTTACTAGGATTGGGAAACACCAGCCCTGGTAAATTTCAGGTCAGACTGGTTCTCTGCTCTCGAACCCTGTTTTCTGTTAAGATGTTTATCAAGATAATACGTGCACTGCTGAACACAGACCCTTATCAGGAGTTTCTGATTTTGCCTTGTCCTGTTTCCTCAGAAGCATGTGATCTTTGCTCTGCTTTTTTGCCCCTTAAAGCATGTAATCTTTTCCCTGTTCATACACTCCCTCCCCTTTTGAAATCCCTAATAAAAACTTGTTGGTTTTGAGGCTCAGGGGGCATCATGGACCTACCAATATGTGATGTCATCTCCGGCAGCCCAGCTGTAAAATTCCTCTCTTTGTACTCTTTCTCTTTATTTCTCAGACCGGCTGACACTTAGGGAAAATAGAAAGAACCTACGTTGAAATATTGGGGGTGGGTTCCCCCGATACTTATCAGTAGTTCTGCTTTTGCCCTTTGTCCTGTTCCCTCAGAAGCATGTGATCTTTGTTAGACCCTTATCAGTAGTTCTGCTTTTTGCCCTTTGAAGCATGTGATCTTTGTACCTACTACCTGTTCTTACACCCCCTTCCCTTTTGAAACCCTTAATAAAAACTTGCTGGTTTGAGGCTCAGGCAGGCATCACAGTCCTACCAATATGTGATGTCACCTCCGGCGGCCCAGCTGTAAAATTCTTCTCTTTATACTGTCTCTCTTTATTTCTCAGCTGGCCGACACTTATGGAAAATAGAACCTACGTTGAAATATTGGGGGCGGGTTCCCCCAATATGGGAGGATTGCTTGAGCCCAGGAAATCGAGGCTACAGTGAGCCATGAGGAAAAGGGAAGAGAAAAAGGAATGGGAAGGGAAAGGGAAAGGAAAGAAAGGAAGGAGAAAATAAGAAAAGGAAAGGAAAAAGAGAAAAAAGGAAGGGGAAGGAAGGATCTTATGAAAGAATACCTATAATATGAATCAATTATATGAAGTTCAGAAACAAGCCAAACTAATTTTATCAGTTAATAGAGAATACATTGGTGGTACGACTAAAAATTAAAAAGAAAAAATATTACAAAAAGCAGCATGTTGCTTATTTGGGGGGTGGCTATTGTGAGCCGGGAGAGGCACACAAAGGTGTGTTGCTTGTATGCTGGCCATATTTCTTTTTTTCTTTTGAGACGGAGTCTCATTCTGTTGCCCAGGCTGGAGTGCAGTGGTGCAATCTTGGTTCACTGCAAGCTCTGCCTCCCAGGTTCGTGCCATTCTCCTGCCTCAGCCTCCCAAGTAGTTGGGACTACAGGCATCCGCCACCAGGCCCGGCTAATTTTTTTGTATTTTTTAGTAGAGATGGAGTTTCACTGTGTTAGCCAGCATGGTCTCGATCTCTCAACCTTGTGATCTGCCCACCTTGGCCTCCCAAAGTGTTGGGACTACAGGCGAAAGCCACCATGCCTGGCCAATGCTGGCCATATTTCTTTACCTGGGTGGTAGTTACGGGGTGTTCACTTTATTCTTTATTACATATATACACTTTATAACATATGCTTCTGTATGTATATCTCACAACAAGTAAGTTTTGTTTTTTTTTTAATTTGAGAATTTTTTAACTTGAGAAACTTGATATAAACAGGTTTAACAAGCTGTGAACTACATTAGGCATCAGACCTGGGGGACTTTTAGAAAAATTAGTAAGGAAGTTTTTTTTAAATTATTGTATCCAACCATAAGGGGTACTCTCCCAATCTAGAAAATTCCAATAAAGCATAAAGATGCTATTTTAGTTCTCAAGCTAAGGTGTCTACAAAGAAAATGCACATTAACAGTAATGAATGGATATAAAACTTCAGAACAAAGTTCTATTTCTTCTAAAGGATAACAATGTAAGACAGTGCTTAAACAGAAAAGTAGATTTGGAAAAAAATATACACGTGTCAGATGAACACAAAACAAGACAAAAATATACAGTAGAAAATTTTCAATAAAATATGCAAACACCCTAATGTTTCAGCTTTTGACTACAGGTTTGCTTGGAGGTTGAGGAAAAGAAAGAGAGGAAGCCAGGCAAGGTGGCTCATGCCTGTAATCCCAGCACTTTGGGAGGCCAAGACAGGCAGATCACTTGAGCCCAGGACCTGGGCAACATAGCAAAACCCAGTCTCTACAAAAATTAGCCAGGCATGCTGGCATATGACTGTAGTCCCGGCTACTCAGGAGACTGAGGTAGGAGGATGGCTTGAGCTTGGGAGGTGGAGGTTTCAGTAAGCTGAGATCACGCCACTGTGCTCCAGGCCTGGGAAACAGGAGCCAGACCCTGTCTCAAAAAAAGAAGAAGAAGAAGAAAGAAGAAAAAAGAGGAAGAAGGAAGAGGAAGAAAGGAGGAGGAAGAGAAGGAAGTAGAGGAGGAGGAGGAGAATTTCCTGTTTAATGATTTGAATCAAACACATCCCAGTTTCTCCTCCTGGGAGGCTGACTCTGCTACCTTAGGGACCCATGGAGGATGTGGACACAGGACGTCCTCACAGCTCTACTACCTAGGAACAGGGATCCTGTGCTTTCTGTCCCTTTTCCTCCTCTCCACACCCAGGCCTCCCTTCGTTGCCCTTCTGTCCACAGATGGAAGCAGGTCCTGAACTCTGCATTTCTTTTTAAATAAAGTAACTATGACAACCTGCTTTATTTATTTTTTTTTTTATTTTTTTTTTTGAGATGGAGTCTTGCTCTGTCGCCCAGGCTGGAGTGCAGTGGCACGGTCTCGGCTCATTGCAATCTCTGCCTCCCAGGTTCATGCGATTCTCCTGCCTCAGCCTCCCAAATAGCTGGACTACAGGTGCCCACCACCACGCCCAGCTAATGTTTGTATTTTTAGTAGAGAAAGGGTTTCACCATGTTGTCCAGGCTGGTTGCAAACTCTTGACCTCAGGTGATCCACCCGCCTCGGTCTTCCAAAGTGCTGGGATTACAGGAGTGAACCACTGCGCCTGGCCCGATGACCTGCTTCTAATTAGAATCACTCCTTTCCTTTCAGAATTTTCCAGAACCTACAAATATTCACTGAGCATGAGGTAGTTTTGTTTCCTAATTAGTTTTAATGGCTGCCCCGAGGCTGGTTCAAATTTGCACTCAGAGCCTGCCTTTGAAGGCTGGAATACTCTCAGTAGCCACTCGTTATGTGGCTATTGACAAACGCAGGGAAACACATACATCCAGAAGAAACTAACATCCCTGCAAAGGTAATGGGATTTAACAATGATTTTATATATTTATTGTGTTATCATTTTCTACCTCTAATTCTCAAAACGTGCTAGTGAGATAAATAATGTATGACTAGGATTATTCAAAAGATGTGTTTCTACAACTGTGGTAGTCTCAAATCATTTTCCCATTGACTTGCATTGTAACTTACAGAGGTGGAGTCTATAGAATTCTGTCTTATTCAGAACACAACCATCTCTTTCAGGTGTGGCACACAGAAGCACTGAGCACATAAGCAGACTCATATAGCAAGGGTCTTTCTGCCTGTGGTAGAGGTAATTTTTTATTTAATTAATTATCCCTACCTAAATCATATACTCATAAACAGAGGCTATGTTTTACTCCAATTTTTATGCTACCTGCAATTCCCACCAGTACCCCTGCACTGAATTAAGTGTTCAATAAGGTACTGAGCATGGCACATTGCCTCAGTTTAGGGAAGTGGGAAACAATAAACATGAACTGAATGAGTTTCTGTGTGTGAACCCCAGGTCAACACCAGCCACTTGGAAGCCCAAGGCTGTGGGCATTTCAGCCCTGTGAGCAAAAGCCACAAGGGCCACAGGTCCACTGCCAAGTTCAGAGAATCACAAAGAGGTGTATTTTCAAGGAAAGCTACTCCCTATTTACTTTATATGGCTGATTTCAATAGCCGATTCTGAGAATATGAACATGTAATTATCTGTACAGAGAGAGGAGGGAATGGAGCTTGCAGACAAACTGCTTGATTAGTAGTTTAAAAGAAAGTGGAAGTTAGCTACTTCTTAGAGTGAATCTACACCTGATACTCAGATATTAAAATACTGTGGTACCATATTGGGGCTCACCAGTATCAAAAGTCAGGTGCCTTCATTAAAAAGGGGGGCATTTTATTTATCAAAGCAACGAAGTCTGAAAGAAATAATAGCCTGTGTCACATGTCACACAGGGTACACAGAAATGAGAGAGTACTTTGGTGATATAATTCAAAAAGACTTAAAATGCTGCAAAACCTTTTGATTCATCAATTCCACTTCTGGAAGTTTATCGTAAGGAAATAATCTTACACTGTGCAAAGACTTGGCTATAAGGATTTCTTATAGCGTTTGTATAAGGGAAAAATATGAGATAATCAGTATGTCCAAACAGGGTATTGGTTGAATAAACGTTGATAAAGACATAAAACAGAATACTATAAAACCACTAATAATTATATGGTAGAAGACTACAAAACAACATGAAAAGACGTTCTCAGGAAGTAAAAAGTAAAATTACATGTTACACTTCCACAATGCTCTGAAAGGGCCTCTGCACACTACTAGATCTTGAGTAAATTACAACAAATGTAATTTTTAATTGCTGGACTTGCAGGAAAGTATAGAAAATCTCTATGGAAGGCACATACACATAAACATAAGGGAAAGCCAGGGTCATCTGACAGGGGACACAAGAGCGGATACAAAACAAGCACTGGAATCGGAATTAGGGTGACCAATAGTCACAGTTTACCCAGAACTGTCCCAGTGTTAGCAATGAAAGTCCCACATCCCAGGAAACCCCTCAGTCCTGGACTAACCAGACAGTTGGTCATTCTATCAGATATCGAGACTTTGGTCCAACCTCTAGGTACAGAGGCTGAACCTGAGTCACACACATTCAGCAGGACTCACAGGCTAAAGTGTCCCACAATTCTAACATCCTTGTATATCAGAGCAAATACAAATCTTAGCTGCATGCAAACTGTCCCAATTTAGGAAATAAGGATTCCCCCAGATAAGGTTCAACCAAAAATCTGTTTACAATTAAAAATTACTAAACACACAAAATAAGTCACCATGAGTTCTCAGTACAAACAACAAATTTAGATCCCCAAATCTTCAGAAACTGAAATAAACAGAACTTTAAATAATTAGGTTTGAAATGTTTAAAGGAATTAGAAAGCAAAACACTATCTAAAATGCCAGAAAGAACCAAATCTTTTAGAAATGAAAAACCTATTCCTTCAATAAAATGCAGTCTACAATTAAGACATCAGCTAAAAAAGGAATTAATGAACTCAATCTAATAGCTCAAGAAATTACCCAATTTTTTTATAGCACAGAGACACAAGGAGATAGAAATATAAGAGATCAAGAGAAATGAAAGATAGATTAAAAAAGGACAAATCTAATTAAAATTCTAAAGGGACAGAACAGAGAAAATGGAAAAGAAATATCTGAAGACATAACAACTGAGAATTTGCCAAAACTGATAAAAAAAAATGCACAGACACAAGAAGCAGCACAATATATGCCACGCAGGAGAAATAAAGAAGAAATCCACACCTGGGCACACTTTAGTAAAAGTGCACAATAAAAACACCAAGAGAAGAGTTCAGAAGTAGCCAAAAGGAAAAGACAGGTGCTTACAAAAGAATGACAATTAGATGACAGAGACATCTCAACAGCGGCACTGGCTGCCAAAATCAATGAAATAGTATCTTCAAAGCACTCAAAGAAAACACAATTATATTCCCAGAAAGATTGTCTTTTAAGAATTAGAGTGAAATAAGAAGACCATTTCAAAAGAATAACAGCTGAAATTTAAGGCCAACTGACCTCGCAATATAACATCTAAACAATATTCTTCAGGTAGAAGGAAAATGTCTCAGAAGGAAGGTCTAAGAAACAACGAAAAAAGAAATTGTTAAATATGTAGGTAAAATTAAACAATGTCTGTTCAAAACAGAACAATAAAGCAGAAACAGCAGACTCATATTAATACACAGTACTTATCAACTTCTAGGTATAGCTCTTAATGCTTTATAGGTACTATATTTCTCATTGAAAAGCCTTAGCCTTATGAGAAAGATCCTTTTGTTGTCCACATTTTATAGGTGAGGAAATTGAGGCACAGGCAGGTTAAATGCTTGCCCGACACTATCCGGTAGGCAGCAGAGCTGGGTGTCACACCAGGCTGCCGGTTTCAGTTTCTAGTTTATGTGCTTAACCACTAGACTGTGTCTATGACAAATGTGGGGGGGAAGGTAGAAAACTAAAAAATAAAAAAAAGACAATTTGATCAAACAAGGATGACCAGAGCCAAAAGTACTCTAAGGCCTTTATATTGTTTTAGAAGGATAGTTAAAATACTCAACCTTATACTTAATTATCTTAGGTAAGCATGGTAAAATTTAAAGGGCAATCACTAAAAAACTAGAAATAAAGTATAAAACTTCTAAATCACTGGAGGGGTAAAAACAGAAGGGAGGTGGGAGCAGGGGAGACCAAAATCAATCCCCTAGAAAGAGAAAAACAATACAAAAGGAAAAATAAATGAAAATGTACAAAGCTTCTGCACAGCAAAGGAAACAATCAACGAAGTAGACATAATCCACAGAATGGGAGAAAACATTTGCAAAATTATTCATCCAACAAAGGATTAACAACTAGAATATATAAGGAACTCAACAGCAAAAGACATTCTGATTTGAAAATGGGCAAAGGATCTGAAAAGACATTTCTCAAAAGGAGACAACAAATGGAGAGCAGGTACATGAAAAAGTGCTCCACATCACTATCATCAGGGAAATGCAAATCAAAACCACAAGCAGATGTCTTCTCACCCCAGTTAAAATGGCTATTACTAAAAGAGTCAGAAAATAACAAATGCTGATGTGGATGCTTGAGCCCAGGAGATCGAGATCAGCCAGGGCAACACAGTGGGACCCCGTTTCTACAAAAAATTTTAAAATTAGCCAGCATGGTGGCATGCGCCTATGGTCCCAGCTACACAAGAGACTGAGGTGGGAGGATGGCTTAAGTCTAGGAGGTGGGGGCTGCAGTGAGCCATTAATCACGCCACTACACTCCAGTGACAGGGTGAGACCCTGTCTCAAAACAAAACAAAACACTTCTTGGCTATAGCAAAGGTGGTATTTTGAAAGAAAATTCATTGCCTTAAATGCTTATGTTAGTCTGGGCATGGTGGATTACATGTGCAATCCCAACACTTTAGGAGGCCAGGGTGGGAGGACTGCTTGAACCTAGGAGTTCAAGACCATCCTGGGCAACACAGTGAGACCCCGTCTCTACAAAAAATTAAAAAATCAGCCAGGCATGGTGGCACATGCCTGTGGTCCCAGCTTCTCAGAAGGCTGAAGTAGGAGGATCACTTGAGCCCAGGAGGTCAAGGCTGAAGTAAGCCATGATTGCACCACCGTACTCCAGCCTGGACCACAAAATGAGACGCTGTCTCAAAAAACAAAACAAAACAAAACAACAACAACAACTTATGTTATAAAAGAAGAAACTGTTATAAAATGTTATAAAACTTATGTTAGAAAAGAAAACATGTTATAAATTAAGGGGCTAAACATTCAACTTAAAGAAGTTAGAAAAGTACAGCATAAACCAAAAGAGAGTAAAGGAAGAAGATAGTAAAAACAGAAATTAAATAAATAAAAAGAAAAAAAAATTAGACAAGCTAAACAAAGCCAAACACTGATTCTTTGCAAAATGTAATCAAAGACACAAAGCTCTGGCAAGATAGATAAAGACAGAGCAGCACAAATAAATACTGACAATGAAAAGAGGGCTACAACTAACTACAGACACCATGAAACTTAAGATAAAATAATACCATGAACAACTTAATGTTATAAAATTAGATAACATATGAAATGAGTAAATTCCTAAGAAACACAATTTAACAAAACTACCTCAAGAAGAAAGACAGTCTAAATTGTTCTATAACCACTAAAGAAAATGAATCTGTAGTTTAAAATCATCCCACAAAGAAATCAGGCCATATAGTTTACAAACGAGTTCTACCAAACATTCAGGAATAGCCTACAGCAGTATTACACAAACTCAATCAGAATATTTAAAAAGTGATAATAGCCACAACTAGTTCTAAGAGGTTATTAGAAAATCTGTTTGTCTACTAATTAGAAATATAATCTATTAGATATAATTCATCATACTAAAAGAGTAAAGAGCAGGGAAAAAGATTATTGCAATACAAGCAAAAAAGTATCCTAAAATTCAACACTCATGGCTGGGCGCGGTGGCTCACGCCTGTAATCCCAGCACTTTGGGAGGTCGAGGAGGGTGGATCACGAGGTCAGGAGATCGAGACCATCCTGGCTAACACGGTGAAACCCCGTCTCTACTAAAAATACAAAAAATTAGCTGGGCGTGGTGGCGGGTGCCTGTAGTCCCAGCTACTCCGGAGTCTGAGGCAGGAGAATGGCGTGAACCCGGGAGGCGGAGCTTGCAGTGAGCCGAGATCACGCCACTGCACTCCGGCCTGGGCGACAGAGTGAGACTCCTTCTTAAAAAAAAAAAATTCAACACTCATTTTTTTTTTAGATTCCAAATTAGGAAGAGAATTTCCTTTTTCTGATAAAGGATATTTACCTACAATCTATAGCAAACATCATATTTAAGAATTAAGATAAAGATGTCTGTATCATGCTGTGCTAGAAATCCCAGACAAAGTAGAAAGATGAGAACCCTACTACCACACAGTACTGGAGGTCCGAGCTACCACAGAAGACAACAAAAATCAATATAAGGTATAGGAAGATTGGAAAGAAAGAAAACAAACCACCTAGGCTGAAATCCCAAACAAACTGGACATGCAAATTATTAAAGGTGATTTCATAAATGTTATGTCATTTAAGACAGCCATATAAAAGGAATCATTATTCCCATTTTCTCTATGAGGAAATAGAGGCTCAGAAAGGTTTTGAGCAACTTGCCTGAAGTTGAAGTCCCCCCAGCATATTAAGTGCTGAAGCCAGAATTCAAACCAATTGATAATTTCAGTGCTCTTCACCGTAGACCACATGACCTCCCCTCAGTTAATATTCACCCGTTTTGCCAGTGGGCTAAAGGACAGCTGCAATAGTATCATTTGCCACTTTAAAAACAGTCACTTGGTCACATTCACTGGCTAAGAACACCCTCCTCAGCCTGGCATTCAAGGGCCTTCACAGAAGGGCCATACACCTACCTATTGTGCCAGTCTTGTCTTCCACCAGGGTCCTCTATAAAAATTACTCTCCTTTCAAAGTATGAATATATTTACTGCCTGGACTAAGCTCCAAGCTAATCCATCCAAGTACAATGCTCATCCCAAATTCCCCCAACTTTAGCCATCTTTCATGATGCAGCTTCGACATCACCGATTCCATAAATCCTTGCCAGTTCCTCCCTAGTAAGTATGGTCTTCTACAGCAAATGTTTCTATCTTAAGTTGCTCATTCAATTCTACACCATATTATAAGTATTTGAGCCCTTATCATCCGTGCTAACTTGGGAATTACTTAAGGGTAAGGACTTTTAAATGTCTATTCATCAAGACATCTAGCAAGCAAAATGTACGTATATATTACGTATTCAATAAATGCATGTTCAGTTGAATAAAAGTGCTTTTATTTGTATACGGTGTTAAAACTGTTCTACTCTAGAAACAAATGACCCTACATAGGAATAAAAATACTTTTCCAATGATGTCGTAAATTATATTATTTTATAGGCCAATAAACTACAGGAGAAGTCTTTTTACTGCCACGACAGAAATAAACACTACACATGCATATGTCTGGCCACGCAAATGCTAGATGGAGCTTAACAACTCCATTCACCCTGTAATTTGAACCCAGATCTGTATGGATCTCAAACCCATATACTCCAGGTTGGCCTCTCCTCTTCACTGTAAACATCCCATTGTGTTCTAAGATTTACTACCTGGTTTATCTTCCCTACTACAATATGAACCTTCTGAGGGCAAGAAATAATGCCTTCATCACTGAATCTCCAGACCTAGAAAAGAACTCAGTAAATATCTGTTGGCAAATGACCATTAAATGTAGGAAGAAGCCCAACATGCTGACCCCTTCCAAAAGCATTACTGTGCGTCCTCACAAAAGAATAAAGAGATGAACTCAAGTGGGAAATTACAAGTCCTATTATGTTCACTATCTTCTCATTAAGAAGGAAATAGCATATTTTAGAAAATTTTCCACTGAAAGAGCTGAAATAAAAATTTGGGGTTCTTAAAAAGCTAAATTCTAGTCATCTAAAACACTGCAGTCTTGGATGGCAATAAACCCATAGAGCATAATTAAACAATAAAATTTGTCTTGAATTACTAATAAATACCATTACAATAAGAGTTCCAAGTAGCTAAAAATATCCCCAAGCTCCTGCCAATGTCCCACAGTTACAGTGTTTAAGTGATATCATCATACTGAAATTTACTAGGAATACAAGACCAGTAAGACAAGATCTTTTCACAGACCCATGGTAACACAGAAAATTTCAACTAGTCTATGATCTAGCATGTATACAAGAATAAACAAGTTTAGATGTAATAAAAAGTTTACTCTCGTGGTTACAGGTACAGAGGAAATTACTAAACACAATCCATTTCCTTTATAAAACAGAAGAAACACAGAAATAATTGCGAGAGAAAACAAAGGCTATGGCAAAACAATTCTGCATTACTTCTACCACCACATTCCATATTCCAGAAAATTATTATATCTGTACAAAGAAAGGTACAATTGATTTTGATAAATCTGAATTTTAGAATGTCTTTTGGATTATTACTTAGAATTCTTAAAGCTTAACTAGCACAAATTTCAGTAAATTTTTTAACTTACAATTTCAAGTTCTTTCCAAAAAAAACTGAATTGAATGAATTGCAACAGATAATGGCAGTTTGTAATTTTCCTAATTTTTTACAGCCAAATATTTTCATGAATACCTATATATTGTTAAACTAAAATGAAAACAAAACACCAATTTACATCATGATGAGTAAATCTGTTTTCACATCTGCTGCCATCTTTTTTACTTGCAAAAATAATCCCCTGGCATTTTCATGTTTTTCATATAGAAAGGACTCAAATGGAGAGCTGAAACGCAGCCAGCAACCGAACAGAGCCCTGGCTATAGCCCAGCCACAGTTGGGTTCTATGGGAGGGATGAATTCCAAGTGATTCCTTCTTGGTTCTGATGGTAAGCAGAAGTGCCTGACCCTCGGCCAACAGATGGACAGGGAAGACACAGAGAGCACACCCACATTGTCCATCTAGGCCAGAGATCAGGGCAGGGCAGGGCAGGGCGACAGGGGAACAAAGCTAACAATGGACCCGTGCCCATACAAATGGATGCACTTCCAATCCTAATACATGTGCTTACAACTACATGGAAGCGGCTGTGAGCTATTCATTCAATGATTTCCAACATACAGAGAGAATCTCAGGGTGGTGAACAGTACTCACAAACAGGCCTGGTACAGAAGGAATGAGCAGGCCTGTACTGTAAGGCAAACCACAGCAGGAATTCAGGTAGGAATCATCAGTCAGAGACTGAAGGGGCAGAATACAGATGTCAACATCATAAATGGCCAGCAAAAGTGTTTCCTTACGTTGCCAAAACTCTCGCATAATGACTTTTTGGACAGAAATATTCTTGTTTCCTCATTACAATGGAACTACTGTGATTAATCCAGCAACAATAAACAAATAATATGTTGTTTATTGTTAATAAACAACATATTATTTGTTATAAAGAATTGTTTATTGTTGCTTAACAACAACAAAAAATCTACTAACAGACCAGTCCAAGACTAGACAACATAAAGCTAACATAAAAATACAAAATCTGGACCCTGAACGTAAACTGTTCACAATCTGTTAGGAAGGGGAAATTCACATACATGAAATAATCAGAGAACAATTAAGAGTGAGGGTGTGAAGCTCTGTGTAGGGCTTGAACAATCAAAGACCTTGAGAATCATACCAGCAACAGAAAAGTGTTGAACCCGAAAAGCAGGAGAACTGGGTCCTTGTACTATCTGTGATCATTAAAGACGAAGACAAAGGAAGAATAGACATATCTGAGGCAGAAAACATGCTGGTTAACCTTTCATAGCCACAGAAACCCTGTGAGGTAGGTATCATCCCCATTCCACAGGCAAGGAAACCGAGGCTCACACCTCGGGCAAGTTACTTAACCACTGTGGTCTCAGTTTTTTCATTTGTAAAATCCAGGAATTAACATAATCAGCAGTTTTCAAACTGGGACCAGCCAAGCACCAGTTTTCTAGCATTGACTGAGAGCCCTGAAGTGGGCAGGGCTGCAGGCCAAATGTACCAAAGCCTCTGGTCAGCAGCTCAGTACCTATTTCTCCACATAATGTTTTGCCATTATAACCACAGCACTGAGAACAGCACTCAGTATATAATGGGTGGTCAGCTAAAAAGTGAGGAATGAACGAATCAAGCAGATGGCACGTCATCACTGACTTTAAGCTGACTCTCATTCACGGCGGCTCATTTCCTTATATGTCTAGCAATGTTTCTATCGTCAGCATATCCCCAGCTCTTCAGCAGCGGGTAGAGGGTAGCATTCTTCTTGAAAGGATTTGCATTTCTTTCTTTCTGCCAAGCAGCCCTGGGCTCTTCCAACTCAGAAGCATTTAGATTCGTTTCTCAGCTTGGGGTTTTCCAGACCATGCAGGTAGCATTAATTCAAATCCCAAGCCAAACAGTCTCAAAAGAGACTTTTTCTTTTTAACTCCATTTGCTGATGGATGTTTTTGTTTTGTTTTCCAGCCTGGTCTCCATCTGGCCTGAATGAGTCCCAGGCCCCGGCCTTCAGTGCTCACTTCCCAATTCAGTTTTAGACCTTCTGTCTCCCAAAAACACTCACTCCTCTTTCTCTTTTTCCCCACCTATGGATTTTTCTCACTTTCTTTTGATAAAGACTTTTAACGGATGTTTGCTGTATCTTTTGCAGTATTTCTAAGGGCTTAGAGTAGGAGAGTTTTCCAGAATATATGGTCAGCCTCATTTATAGGAGGGTCCATTATCTACCACTTTTCACTTTGGATGTGGTTTAGAAATCATTCCCTGAGGTTAAATGGGCGCAGAAACTACATAAGCCGTCAAAGGAGAGGAGGACACCCCAGGGGACTCCCAGAGGGTGAAGAAAAACACAAGCAGCCAATACAAGAGAGAGGCTGAAGCTGGCTGGGGTGGAGGAGGAGCCTGAGGTGCAAGAAGCAGACCTGCTGAAGCAGAAGGCTGGAGGCAGTTTATTTCCTAGTGAAAGGAGACCAACTTGCACTTTAACAGTTAGTTCTGAAGGATGACTGGTAGGTAAGTGAATATAATGATTCTATTTACTGGTACTTCCACCAATAAAGAGGACAGTTTAAGAACACAGTAGTATCACTTGCATATATAATTCTATAAGGACAAGCACACAGATCCAAAGTTGAATCAAATTCAGGCAGGAAACAGCACACAGGAAACCCCAAGTACAAGGAACTAAGATGAATGAAGGGGACGCTGTGCTCTGCCTGCTGTAAAGTGCTAAGATTCAGAGCACAAGCCAAAACCTTACCTTTTACACAAGAATTTTGTTATACAGAGTGGAAAATAAGTGAACTACCACCAGGGGCTTCGAAACATTTATTATTCTGATTCAATTATTATTGAATGTAGCTAGACATAGTGTTTCAAAATTTCTAAAAATGATTTTCTTTTATTACAACAATAACCATTTATGGAAGATATTAATAGTTACAAGTTGGCAAAATGAGGCTAAAAGAAGCCATAGAGCCATGGTGGCGGCACTGTATCTAGGTTCTTACAGATGAACGTCTTTATAGGGTTTTTTTTTGTTTTTTTTTTTTTGAGACGGAGTCTTGCTCTGTCACCCAGGCTGCAGTGCAGTGGTGGGATGTCAGCTCACTGCAACCTCTGCCTCCTGGATTCAAGCGATTCTCCTGCCTCAGCCTCCTGAGTAGCTGGGACTACAAGTGTGTGCCACCACCATGCTCAACTAATTTTTGTATTTTTAGAGGTGGGGTTTCACCATGTTGGCCAGGCTGGTCTCGAACTGACCTCAAGTGACCCGCCCGCCTCGGCCTCCTAAATTACTGGGATTACAGGTGTGAGCCACCGCACCCAGCCCATAGATTTTCATATAATATAACGTTCTGTATATGAAATAATTAAAATAATTCTAGACAGAGAAAGGGTTACCATGACATGGGGTTCATCAAGAAAGCATCTGTGGTCCTGGAAGATCCAGATGCCTGCTTTACACAGGTGTTATTACAATTAACACCAACAAGAATAAAAACTGTCAGGGAAAATTCAGTTGATTCTTGACTACTACCATGCCCTATAGGTACACAAATATAACATGAGAAAATTAATGGCAGGATTTAAATCTCGTAGCCGTTCTTCCCAGAAACTAGCATTACCTCAAATCAAAGAGTAGACACCGGGTAGCAGGAAAAAAGATAATGATCCAAATGTCCCCTTAACCCACATTTCAGTCAAAGGTTATAATCACAGCTGGACATAATGAACATTAGTTTGGGGTTCAGCAATGATTTATATCATCTAGTTCTTAGAGGGAATTCATATTCACTTATCAAAAGCTTACCTTTTAGAAGTAACAAATCAGTTCTATTTCCTTCAAGTTCTTATACCACAAATTTAAGATCTTCACAAAATAGTATTTGTGCACCTAAACGTGGAGATACTCAGCTTGACCCAGGACTAAACGAGAAAGAAAAATTAACTAGGGTTAGCGAGAAAAGGTTCCAGAAGCAAAAAGCATAAATTCAAAGTACTTAAAAATGAACATGCACTGTTGTTTTAAAGAATCTATTAGAAACATGACTCTTTCCGAGAAGAATATAAAGCACCTAATTAAAAGCACATACAAAATAAGACTGTTTATAATAACTTTTAAAAGGAAAAATAGAGCTAAGAAAAAGAAGACAGCAAAAATGTTAATGCAAACTATAAAAAACTTGGCCTGAAGTATACTCTTCATCAGGGCAAAGAGAGACTCAGGATAGATTACACAAATCTTATCAGAAATGAGGAAACTGACTAGTTAGCCAGGAAAAATGTTTTTCCCAGTATTAAATTTTGAAGAAAAGTCACCAATGAAGCACTACGGAAGAGTCATCAGATGGTGGAAGGGACAAAGACAATAATCTCACACAAATGTAAAAACAGGGTTTACAATTATTTCCTATAGCAAACATGAATAAAAGCTTAACATTAATGGGTAACTCAGTAAAAGCAGTGTTTTAAGGGCTAGGTTAATGTGGTCCAAAACATGCTATGAACAAAATAGAAAAGAGAACCTGTCCTTCCCCTTCTCCCTAAAAATCATGACTCTTAATGAGGCCAGCTAACAAGCTAAGGATTGGTTCTAAGGCTCGGCACTGCATTTACCCACCTCCCTGCTTCGCTGTGAAATGTAACCACCTGCCCCCATCAACCCTTCTGGCTAATGGAAGGATAAAAACCGGAATGGAAATGCCTCACTACATTTAGGCCAGTTCTGTAAATAAATAAATAAATAAAAACTAAGGTGACCAGCTGGCCAACATAGTGAAACCCCATCTCTACTAAAAATACAAAAAATTAGCCAGGCATGGTGGTAGGCGCCTGTAATCCCAGCTACTCGGGAGGCCGAGGCAGGAGAATTGCTTGAACCCAGGAGGCGGAGGTTGCAGTGAGCAGAGATCGTGCCACTGCACTCCAGCCTGGGCAACAAGAGCAAAACTCCGTCTCAAAAAAAAAAAAAAAATTACGGCAGGAATTTCAACCTAGGATTTAAGTCTGAATTACCTCGCTGAGATACCAGTAAAATGCATGGAAACAAATGAGATGTTCTTTCTCCTTCTGCCTTTTTAAATATCCCTCCGATAACACCCACAAAGTGAGGTGGTTCACCCTGGCCCCCTGTCATAATCCATTCACCCCAGTCATTTGCCCAAAGAAATGAGAGTGCAAAAGCTACAAGTGAGTTATTACTCCTCACGTTTAATGTAAGGTATCTGCTATTCATTTCTTTTTAAATAAAATATTTTTTAAAAATAAAGATCAACTAAATTTATTTATCCATCCATCTGTCCATTTATTCATTCACTGTGCAAACACTTGAGTGCCGAACATCCCAGGCACTGTGCTAAGCAGAATAAAACAGCCTTAACTTTCTAATTTAGATGACAAATTACAGCATTTCTCTCTCCCAATTTAAACAGTTAAAAGAGTGCACCTTTCAAAGACCATTAGAATGTGAGACTTTCTTCTGCATGGGTCCTCAAATACAAAATCATATCTTCAATTAATCACCCAACTATCACCACTCCATAAGGAAAGCTAGGCTTGCAGACTTGTCTCAGCAGCCAACAGTTAGACAGCTGCACAGACACTGAGGCAGGGCCTCATTTAAGTGGAAATCAAACTATGCAGGGACTCCTCCTGACCAGTTTTCTCCTTTGGCATGAGGCACTTGTTAATTTCACTGAAGAATTTCTGTAAGAAACTAATTTTCACAACAAAAATAAAATCTATATTCAGGTAGCCACTTGTACCAAAACGCTAATAAAATAGATTCCTGGTAAAGAAAAATGAAGAAAAGATAACTTTAAATAACCAGGGAGGAAAAGGTAATAAATGATCAGTTGAAATATCAAAAATAAAAAGGCAATTAAAAAAAGATAAAATGGCATGAATGCATAGTATCATGGACTTGGCATGGCTTCAATTATTCATTTTTTAATGTATAAGTTTTTTTTAAGTGTATTCATATTACACTGGTCTTGCTACCATGGTAAGATTAATGCTATACTACAATTCTAATTAAAATTCATACTGAGGCCCAACTCTCAACATTCACGTTGATAAATAAAAGGAAATGGCGATGGAATACACGAGAAATACGCAACTTTCCTTCTTACCAAACTGTCAACTTTAACTTCCCAGTTATGGATGGAGAAAGTCAAACCCTCACGTCTACCGTGGTGCATCTCGTCTATCCACGCAGTTAGTGGCACACGTTTAGCCGCGCCGTAAAGAAGCATCACCTCACTTCACAACTGTGTTCTGAAATAAGCCCTCTGGTCTAGGGAAAAACCATCTAAGCAGAGGTTCACATGCTGAATTCCAAGCCAAACACGTATCAAGTGTTCACAGCTGTCTGCTGTTTTGAGAACTTCTTGGAAGAGAATGAATAGGTCTGCTGTATATCTCACTAAGAGTGAAGAGGACCTACACCATTCTAGCGGGGAGGAGGAGGAAAGAGGCCAAGGACACGTTCCCAATTACGCTATCGTCAAATGGCTGGCCTGGGAGAGAGAGAGTCTCCATTTTCTTTTCTCTTTTTTTCTTAACATAATTAATCAGATATTAAACACAGATGAAGTAATTTGAAACTAATTTTTGTACGATGTAAGCCATGTGTTAAAGATTTTCCTCATAAATGTACATAGCTATCATAAACTGAGGCTAGAAATTATCTTCTAAATGTATTAGTGTCAAACAGAATATTACCGTCTTCCCATGACATTAAGATCAGAACACAGCAGTGAAGGGAAAAGAACATATTTTCATTCTATCATACTTGAGCTGAAATCATAAAGACGTACTAAAGCAATTTAAGTGTGAATTTAACAGTATCTTTTAAAAGTTTAAACTAGACGGTAGAAAGCATATATAATTTAAGTTCTGAATTCTGAATATCTACTTATTGTTCTACATTTTCAAAAACTATAGCCAGGCCGGGCGCGGTGGCTCAAGCCTGTAATCCCAGCACTTAGGGAGGCCGAGGCAGGCGGATCACGAGGTCAGGAGATCGAGACCATCCTGGTTAACATGGTGAAACCCTGTCTCTACTAAAAATACAAAAAAAAAAATTAGCCGGGCATAGTGGCAGGCGCCTAGTCCCAGCTACTCGGGAGGCTGAGGCAGGAGAATGGCGTGAACCCAGGAGGCGGAGCTTGCAGTGAGCCGAGATCACGCCACTGCACTCCAGCCTGGGGGACAGAATGAGACTCCGTCTCAAAAAAAAAAAAAAAACAAAAAAAAACAACAACTATGGCCAGTATTCTGGATCCCCATGGGGCCTACGTAAAGAAAGCTAAACTCACCCAGGAAAGCTCCCCAAATAGAGACTGCAACTTACCTCCAGCTCTCCTTCCTTTCACTGGTTCTACAACAGTGCCCTAAACATAGGAGGTCCTCTAAAAGTATTTGTTCAATAAGATGCTTAAAGGGGAAAAATATCAGAATCAAATAAAGAATACTTGCTGGCACCTATTAAAAAACAAAATAAACTAATAAAATAGGTAAAATGATCAAGAAGAAAATAATCCCACTATTATCAGAGCAACTGTTCTTCTCAACTTACGATGTCAAAATGTTCTCAAATAACATCAAACAAAAAGAATTATCAAAGTTAACATTACATTTTTTTCTAGGAAAGATCTAAGTATATGTATTGAAAATTAAGCTTTTCGATCAATTTAATCAACATGAGCATACAGATAATAGTTTAGTACTACTAATAAAAATATCTTTTGGAAAGTGCTGGATCATTTTACACTAAAGCATATAGCCAAAAAAAAAAAAAACTAGTATTTTCTTCTACATTTCCCCTCTAAACACTACAAAATGCACTACATCAAAACAATTGTATGGAAAGATACAGTACTAGACTTGCTCTTTGTGAAGCTGTATTGTCAATACAGCTCATTGTACCACACAGTACAGGCCAGACACCTTTAGCAGTCTCAAAGGAGCTGTGAAAACACAGACCTTACACTTTCCCCAATACTTCATCTAATGCAAACAGAGGGCAGTCCACTTGACCGACATGCAACAGACTTAAGATCCCTTGAAGCCCAGTTATTCCGTGCCTATGATGATGAATTTAGCACAAGAGGAAGGGAGTCCACATTCACCTCCACCTATGCTGAGAGAACCCAACAAAAGCTTGAGCCTGGGCTCTGGTTCAAAGGCCACAGCAGCAAAAGAAGTCAAGAGAATTCCAGGGATGAGGTGATGGGAGTTGATATGATGCTCTCTGAGTGAAGGAAACAGAGTTGCCTCAAGCCAAGCTTGAGATGGCCCAGAAAGACCACAAAGGTTACTGCTGCCAGAAAAAGAAAAGAAGGGATATCTCTGGTACCTGGGACTGTTACAGGGAGTTGTTTCAGAATATCTGCATCACTGAAGGACATCATCTCAAGAAGTCCCCGAATTAAGATCTGATATTTAAGGTGCAAAGTGACAGCTTCCACACAAAGGCCAAAAGTTACCCTCCAGGCCACCAGAAACTCAGTGTAACCAAGCCTAGTGTGACACTAGAAACAAGACAACTACCTACACGAGCCACACTGAGCAGGAGGGAGGGATGGGGCAAGAGTTGTTTTGGCTACTGTGGCCAAAGCTAATCCTTGCTCCTGGTGGCCCTAACATAAATCTCCCCAATTAACCCACGGACTATGTTGTTAAAGTCTTCTTACAAACAGGTTGTTCAGAATTCTGAAAAAATATTTCTAGAGAAGTAATGTCATAAGCATTATCATTGCTACACAGGCTAATCTGTAAAAGTCATTTTAACCCATGATGTACTTGGGCTGCAACACCAAAAGTAATTTCTCTGATACTCTTTAATAGCTACAAAGAAATCTCATTTTCCTGACCTCCCTGACTGAGAGGTCATTAAAGATGACATTCAAGACCAAGAGACAGACCTAGCATAAATAGATGCTGTAGGGCTGGGCATGGTGGCTCACGCCTGTAATCCCAGCACTTTGGGAGGCTGAGGCATGAAGATTGCTTGAGCCCAGGAGTTTGAGACCAGCCTGGGCAAAATGGTGAAAAACTGTCTCTAATAAAAATACAAAAAATTAGCCAGGTGTGGTAGCACGCGCCTGTAGTCCCAGCTACTTGGGAAGCAGAGGTGGGAGGACCACCTGAGCCTGGGAAGTTGAGGCTGCAGTGAGCCATGATTGCACCACTGCACTTAAGCCTGTGAAACGGGAACAAGACCCTATCTCAAAAAAGAAAAACAGAAAAAAGGAAAAAAAGACCAAAAAAAAAGAAGACCAGCAGAGGTCTTGGCAAACAAACAAACATGTGGGTTCTAATAAGTTAGGCCTTCTCTATTTCCATAATACCTTGGTATTATTATTAGCAAATATACTATATATTTATGCAATATACATTTATGTAAATATACTGCTTGCATAACACCTTGGTAGGTCTGCAGAGAAGGCAGTGCTGGTTTGCACCCACCACTTCCCAATTATTCTGAATTTAAAAACAGAGTGCTGGGCAAAGGGACCCTATGACACAAGGGTGTCAAGCTGGCACCATCTATATTGACCTACTGTCACCTAAATAAGTTATGAACTCAGTACAACAGTTCTGAGAGTCATGTTTACCATTCCATTGTCAACTAAGAACACGTTTTTGTTGCTTTAGAAGAAGGAGGAGTTTGTGACCAGTGTGAGACTCCATGTCTACTATAAAAAAAAAAAAAATTAGCCAGGGGGTGGTTGCACACCTGTAGTCCCAGCTACTTGAGAGACTGAGACGGGAGGATGACTTGAGCCCAGGAGTTTGAGGCTGCAGTGAGCTATGATCATGCCACTGCACTCCAGCTTGGGTGTCAGAGCAAAACCTTGTCTCAAAAAAAAAAAAAAAAGAAAGAAGAAGAAAGAAGGAAGAAGAAAAAGTCTCCCAGCCGGGCGCAGTGGCTCACGCCTGTAATCCCAGCACTTTGGGAGGCCAAGGTGGGCAGATCATTCGAGGTCAGGAGTTCGAGACCAGCCTGCCCAACATGGTAAAACCCCGTCTCTACTAAAAACACAAAAACTAGCCGGGCATGGTGGCGCGCACCTGTAATCCCAGCTACTTGGGGGGCTGAGACAGGAGAGTCGCTTAAACTCTTGCAGCGGAGGTTGCAGTGAGTTGAGGTTGCACCACTGTACTCCAGCCTGAGTGACAGAGCAAGACTGCCGTAACAAAAAAAAGAAGAAAAAGTCTCCCTAGTTTATTACAGTCTTTACTCCTGCTCAATATTTAGAAAGTATATCTGAACTGTATACTCCTATATTCACAGCAGGGGCCTACCCTCCCTCAGTACTTTCACAGAATGACACTTCTTTGAAAGTCACAGGGTCTTAAATAAGATGACGAGTTACTGTCCTCCACAGCAGAACTACAAACAAGATCTTAATTTGCTAAGTTATTGTTTATTTACTAATATTACCCCAAATTCTACGTTTTTGCTTACTACAGAAATTCTCATAAGACCTATTTCCTTGGGCTCCATGCTGACAGGTCTGGTTACTGAAGAAAATGAAAGAACTTGCCATTAGTGTAGTTATGTACATCAAGGTGGGTTCAAAGGAATCTCTAGGGACAGTGACAAAGCGCTGCCGTGGGTTAGAATGGGCATTGAGAGCTAAAGAAAGTAGTAACTGTGGCCATCCAGACGGCTAGACTTGTTGCTCAATTTGCAAATCAGTGCCAGGAGAATATGAATTGGTGAGGGTCAGTGTGGGACCTTGAAGATTACCATCTCCCATGGTCTTTCACAGGCAGGAATATGGCCAAACCCTCTCAGGCTCAGCTTCTCTCCCTGTATGTCCCTGGCCAGTTTTCTTCCACTATCCACAGAACCATCAGAATCACCACAGTTTCGACAGCAGCAGCCTCATGAAGTTCAAACACCGTGGCAAATGAAGAAGATGGGCAGGACTAAGAGGAAAGCAACAACAACAAAAAAAGCAGCTGCAACTGTGCGGGACACTTGTAGCGCGTGGGCTCCAGACAGTGGCAGAACTATACAAGCACTCCACAACTCGGCACTGGACTGTGTTCCAGTCTAGTAAGATTTGGCTCTTTTGGAACTCAGAACACATTTTCAAAATGGAATGCTGATATAGCCTAAAATTAAACCTGTTCTTATTTCTTACTTATTTCTTTCTACACTGATCAAACTCTAGCCTTCAGGGAGCTTACATTCTAACAGAGAGAACAACAAAATGGAAGAGATCAATAAAAGGCTAACAAGAGGCAGGAAAGACTGGCATGTATGAGGATACGGAAAAGACCAGGACGTTGGGGGTTTGCTTAGGAGCGGCCTGTAGGCAACAGAAAGGGGCTTATATTTTATTCGGAGTGCAGTGGGAAGCCACTGGAAGGTTTTGGTTTTTTGTTTTTTGTTTTTGAGACGGAGTCTCGCTCTGTTGCCCAGGCTGGAGTGCAGGGGCGCAATCTCGGCTCACTGCAAGCTCCGCCTCCTGGGTTCAGGCCATTCTCCTGCCTCAGCCTCCCGAGTAGCTGGGACTACAGGCGCCCGCCACCACACCCGGCTGATTTTTTTGTATTTTTAGTAGAGACAGGGTTTCAACGTGTTAGCCAGGATGGTCTCGATCTCCTGACCTCATGATCCGCCCGCCTTGGCCTCCCAAAGTGCTGGGACTACAGGCGTGAGCCACTGCGCCCGGCCGCCACTGGAAGGTTTAAATGAAATGTTCTGGTTTTCATTTCAGGAACAACATTGTTGTGTGGAAGAGGACAGAGTGAAGGCAGAAAGCACAGGCAGGAGGCTGCTGCAGTGATCCGGGTACAGCTGGTGGTGGCCAGCACTAAGATGCTCATTAGAGAGAGGGACAAGAGAGCAGCTGGGAGGCAGGCTTTTGGTTTGTGTGTGTGGTGTTTTGTTTTGTTTTGTTTTTGTTTTTTTGAGAAAGACTCTCACTCTGTCGCCCAGGCTGGAGTGCTGTGGTGTGATCTTGGCTCATTACAACCTCCACCTCCCGGGTTCAAGCAATTCTCCTGCCTCAGCCTCCCAAGTAGCCGGGACTGCAGGTGCCCGCCACCATGCCCAGCTAATTTTTGTATTTTTAGTACAGATGGGGTTTCACTATGTTGGCCAGGCTGGTCTCGAACTCCTGACCTCATGATCCACCCACCTCGGCCTCCCAAAGTGTTGTGATTACAGGTGTGAGCCACTGCACCCAGCCCGGGAGGCAGGTTTTAACCGAGGGACGTGGAGCAAGTAACTTAATCTCTCTGTAATTCAGTTTTCTTACCTATCAATTAGAGATAATAACAGTATCTACCTCATGAATCTATGATAAGAATTCAATGAGTTAATATCTGTAACATGCTTAAAACTGTGCCTGGTACATACTAGGAGCTATATTAGCTATCACTATTACCACAACCTACCTCATGGTACTATTGTTAGGACCAGACAGATTATTTGTGTTAATTCGTGTAATATTTTTGAGGCAGTGCCGGCACATAATAAACTCTCAGTAAGTGTCAGCTATTACAGTTATGAATAATTCCCAATTGGTGGTGGCAGTAATTGAGCTGAAGAAGAATGGGACAGGGCATGGAGTTGCCATGAGCAGATGTGGCATGTTGAGTCTGCAATGTTTAGGAGACATCCAAATGGCAGGGTCAAGTAAATAGCTGGACACTTGCATCTGAACCTCGGAGTCAAAGTATAGACTGGAGATAAGTCAGTGTCATCGACATAAAGGTCAGTTTTAACTACAGAACTACAGAACATACTAAGCCCAGTGAGGGAGGATGAGGATGGAGGAAAGGCTCTAGTGGTGAGCCCTGTGGAACCCCACGTCAGGTAAATAAAGGTAGGGAGCCAGCAGAGGAGGGTGAGAAGGAAGAATGAACAGGGAGGAGGAAACCAACAGAGAGGGGAGTCTCAACACCTGAGCAAAGAGAGGGCCTGCAGAAAGGTCCAGTTCAATGAAGACATTGGATGTGGCTCCTGAAGCTTATCTGTTCTTTTAGCATCTTACCCATTTTGACTTTCCCTAACTTTCACTGGCAACACTGTCTGTGTGAAGAACACACATTCCAAGGACATCATAGTACAATGGGAAAAACTCTGTCCTTGGACTCAAGAGACCCAGGCTCAAGCTCCAGTGAAGTGTCGGGTAGGTCCCTCAACAAGGGCCTTCACTTTCGCCAAAGGCAAAATGACAAGATCGGACCAGATTCCCAAAGCCAGGTCATGAGATCTCTATGCATCTACAAACCCAATAATCAAAGTCCATAAGCTCTTTTTCAATATTTAAAACACATATTGATCGTTTCCTTAGCCTTCTAGCTAAGATAAAGTATGTATTGAGAACTACACATCTACTATAGTAAAGTTACACAAACCTAACTGTCACATTTGTTTTTGACTGAAACACTCTAGAAACTTGGAAAGCAGTAGTGATTAAGAAGGGGAACTCAGGAGGCTGACAGCCTCACTTCAAATCTTGGGTCTGTCAATGACTACTTCCTGCATTAGAGCTATGCTACTTAACTACTCAAGGTCTCAGTTTCCCCAACTGTAAAATGGAGGTATGACAAAACCTATCTCAGGCAGCTGTGGAGGGATTTCAGTGAGTTAATTGTAAGCTCTCTAAAGGAACTTCCTGATAGTTTCCTCCTCCCTTGTGATTCTTTCTGTCTCCTCTGCTTGTTCCTCTGCCTTGGCTGGCCTGGGATGCTGAGGTTCCACAGCACTCACTGCCAGATCCTCTTCTTCAGCTCCAGCCTCTCCCTCATTCAGCTCACATTAAGCATAAAAAACAAATACGAGCTATTAATACCATTATCTTGTACTGAACAACAATTCTTGGCTAGTAATAAGATCATAGCCATTGGGGCAGGAAGGGAGGAAGAAAGAAAATATAAAAAGAATCTGATGATAAAAACATTGGTGACCACTGGTAATTCCCAACTGAAAAATTCCACCTCTTTATGCTTGAAATGCACCTGTTGCCACATCACATGGTCCTTGGCACCTTGAATTAAAACCTAGTGGATAAGGCTTTCTCCTCTACCTGTCACCTCCCCGAGGACAGTAGCCACATCTGACTTGGTGACAGTGTATGCTCAGCAACTGTGGAACCAATCCCTGGGTACTTAACCAGCCCCTTCCCCCTAAATTCACTCATACATTTCTAATTTAGAAATTAAACGTTCTAAATATTTTTCCGCAAATACTTTTAAACCCTCCACTGCACATGTGTCCCAGTGAGTCCTTTCAATGACTTACCCCATCCTTTGTCTCACCTGAAGCAAATTCTACAGATTTTCAAACGTAGCATTTCAATGTTTCCCCCAAAACAGATTTATTCTCAGTGCTTTCCAACTTTAAACTAAAACTTCTCAGAACATTTTATTTTTCTTTAGGAGGACAGTTACACCTGAATCAAAGCTACCGTTTCAAAATTTTTAATGTGGGGCCAGGCGTGGTGGCTCATGCCTGTAATCCCAGCACTTTGGGAATCCAAGGCAGGAGGATGGCTTGAACTCAGGAGTTTGAGACTAGCCTGGGGAACAGAGTGAGACCCCATCTCTACAAAAAATTTAAAAATTTGCCAAATGTGGTGACCCGCCTGTAGCCCCAGCTACTCAGAGGCTGAGGTGGGAGGATCGCCTGAGCCCAGGAGTTTGAGGCTGCAGCAAGTTATGATGGCACACTGCACTCCAGCCTGGGTGGCAGAGCAAGAACCTATCTCAAAAAAAAAAAAAAAATTCTAAAATGGATTAAAGAAACCCTATCTGAGCTACAAGAGACAAAGCCTGTGAGAGTTAGATGTCTCCTTGCCCTTCCTCCTCATCAACAAGTCATGACACAACTTGAGGAAGCTGGACCTATTTTGGTTAGGCACCCACTTAACTTGGCCTTTAAATGCTTTCTTCATTACCACATGAGAAGCAACAATTGAAAATGAAACAAAACTCAACAGAGCAGTGACTAACATAAAACTGCTTATATTAAATAAACTCAGTACAGCATCTTTTTTTTTTTTTTTTTTTTGAGACAGAGTCTCACTTTGTCACCCAGGCTGGAGTACAGTGGCGCGATCTCGGCTAACTGCAACCTCCACCTCCTGGGTTCAAGCCATTCTCCTGCCTCAGCCTCCCATGTATCTGGGATTATAGGCACCTGCCACCATGCCTGGGTAATTTTTGTATTTTTAATAGAGACAGGGTTTCACCATGTTGGCCAGGCTGGTCTTGACCTCCTGACCTCAGGTGATCAACCTGCCTCAGCCTCCCAAAGTGCTGGGATTACAGGCATGGGCCACTGTGCCCGGCCCTACAGCATCTATTCACACTAAGCTGCTTTATAAACTCTGAGGCAAAAATGAAGGCAGCCTTGAAAGTTGCCACATTTAAGCACAAGGAAGCCTGGAGTAAATCACCTCTAATTCAGGAGCAATTTCATCTGTGAAGGAAAAACTTCAGGAAGAAATTTTGAAAGCTTGAGAAAAGCTTAAAAGGAGGCAAGCATCACATCAACAGATGATGTGTGTTAATTTTAGCTGCAATAGTCTAAAGTGCAGTGTCAAACCAGGAAAGCAGCCAAGCAACACTCAGGCCAGAGACGCTAACTGAGTGCCCATCACCGGCCCCGGTACCAGAGACACTTAGTGAGTGCCCACCACAGGCCGAACAGGCCGGGTGCTGACAATGCAAAACTCATCGAAGTCCAGTCCCTAGCCCCGAGAAGCACCCTACACAGTGAGAGAAGATGGGCAAAATAAACCAACTTCAATACTACAAGGTAAATCCTGTAATCAAGAGCCAAAAAAGTGCTGTGGAGCAGAGTTGAGAGAATCTTGCTGGAATGACCGGTCCCTGGCAGGATAAAGCCAAGGTAGGGTCTTCAGATGATGATGCAAGAGCAAAACAAAGAAAGAGAGCTCCAAGTTGGACCAAGTAAGGACAATTTACTGACAAAAATATCTCAATAATGAAGACTTTATAATAATCCAAGAGAAAATTAAGCCAGAGTTCTTAAGATAAATAGAAGGCTATTAAAGATATATAGAAGATCTAATTATACTGCCTGGATAGGAAAGGGTCTTACTGCTACAGAGTAGAATTAACGTATATTTAATAGATATGAATGCTGTACATTTGACACTTACTATTTAACTTTAAAACAATTAGCCTTTTCAAAAACTCAGTGTTTTTGTTTTTTCCTAGATCTAGAAGCAATAAAATGGGCTTAAGGAACACGGAATAAAGGGAGCAACCCTGTGAAGACCACAAAGGCAGAACAGTGACAGCAGCTCAGCAGCAAGACTGCCGGGCACCGGGCCTGGCTCTCCCACCACCTGACTGGGTAACTTTTCAAACACCTTCATTTCCCAAGAAGTAGGAATGTTGGGAAGACTAAATAAACATATGTCAAGTACTTAATTACCTGCCCACATAGTAAAGTGCTAAATAAATGTTGGACATTGCTTTTGCAATTTCATTTATATTCTACCCATTAAGCAATGTTTAAAATCTGGAATAAAATAGATTATTAAAGAAATATGCAGAGACAATTATCATTGACCCTGATTCCATCTGGAAATCAGGGATGAAGAATCACGGAGAAAAAAAGGTTAAAATTATCTCTGATCAAAATTAAAGTCTATCAAAATCTCAAATGGCAACGAATTCTTGCTGAATGGCCTTGTATGTGAATGCTAATGATTTCTCCATTACTAAGGAAGGGCCCACTTTGCATCTTACTCCATGTTCTCAGTCTCCCAGTGAGACAGGAAAATCCTTTTTTTTTTTTTTTTTTTTACAAATGCTGAAACTAAAGTTCAAAGAGTTTAAGTAAGGTTATGAAAAGTCACTAGGCTATTAGTGACATAGCTTAGTTCTGATATCTGGCTCCAAGACCCATACTTTTTTCCACCAAACTATGGTGCTAAAATTAACAACAGTAATTTCCACTCCACAACACTGTTACTTTGGAATAGGAAGAAAAAGTTGTGTAATTATCTGGTGAGAACAAAACAATGTATGAACCTAGGCCAACTCTATTCTCATATTCTCAGACTCGAGAATTTCTAGAAAAAAATAATAAATGGCAAACCCAAATTTAATTTTAAAATGACAAGAGCCACAAATTGGAAAGACCCTTCACAATGCTCTGGTCACTAAGCTTGGGTGTGGACATGGGTGACAAGCACTCTCCAATTCTAGTGCAGCTTTCCAAAAAGCAATTTGGCAATATGCAGAAAGTGACTAAAGCCAACAGTGCTAAAGGCTAAAGGGAGGATTAAGCCAAAGATGCTCACCAAAAGTGCTATTCAGTATCATTCTAGAAATTACAAGCAAAATATTACAACAGGAAAAAAAGTCATATAAAAATAGAAAAAAGTCATATAAAAATAGAGCCAAAAATCACCCTGATTTGTAAGTAATATAATTTTCCATCTGGAAAACCCAACAGAATCAAATGAAATCAGAACAATTAAGAGTTCAGTAAAATAGGAAAATGTAATTGCTATGATCCAAATGTTGGTGTCCCCCCAAAATTCCTATGTTGGAACCTAATACCAAATGTAATAGCATTACGAGGTGGGGCCTTTGGGAAGTGATTAAGCAAGCCCTCACCAGACAACAAGTCCACTGGTGCCTTGCTCTTGGACTTCTCAGCTCCCAGGATTGTGAGCAACACATTTCTACTGTTTATAAATTACCCAGTCTAAGGTATTTTGTTATAGCAGCCAAACAGACTAAGACAATAAATAGTACACAAAAATAAATTCAGGATGATGAATGAGCCATCTGTTTACCTTATCCCTCTCCCCAAAGTCCCATTAAAATGATCAAACAAGGCCGGGTGCAGTGGCTCACACCTGTAATTCCAGCACTCTGGGAGGCAGAAGTGGCCGGATCACCTGGGGTTGGGAGTTCAAGACCAGCCTGACCAACATGGAGAAACTCCGTCTCCACTAAAAATACAAAAAAAATTAGCCAAGTGTGGTGGTGCATGCCTGTAATCCCAGCTACTCGGGAGGCTGGGGCAGAAGAATCGCTTGAACCCAGGAGGCAGAGGTTGTGGTGAGCCAGGATCGCACCACTGCAATCCAGCCTGGGCAACAAGAGCAAAAGTACGTCTCAAAAAAAAAAAAAAAAAGAAAAAAGAAAAAGAAAAGAAAAGAAAAGAAAAGATCAAACAAATGTAAAAGAACAAAAAAAAATTTTAAAAACCTGTGGAAAACAGAGTGAGGTACCACTGATAAACCCTTCTCAATTTCTAGAAGACATGGAGGAGAAGGGATTCGACTGATAGAAAAGCACCAAGAGCCTTAATTCAGCCAGGCAAATGCAAGCACACCACCCTTGACTACAGGGCTTTAGGCAATGTCTGGCCAACAAACATGTCTATACCAACCCACGGAGGAAAACGGGAGGCTGACCTTGGCAGGCCTTCTTGCACCACATCCACACGGGAGCAAAATAGAAAAGGGGAGCAACACTCCAGTTAACTTTGGATTGCCACACAATTTGCTAATTGAGAAAGGGTATAAATTGTCCTGACAAAGCAGTGACCCTCCTAATTATTTGGAAGATTTACTATGAGATGGCTGCTAACTGTACACAGAGGCCTAACAGAGCAACAGAAGTGGGAGGGTCAGAAATCAAACTGAAGACCTTCTTCTGGAATCCTCCCAGGTCCTACCCTCCCTCAGTCTAACAACTAGATGAAAGGCAAGGACAACCTCCTTTGGTTACTCTGTATGAACCCACACTGACTTCTCACATCACTTAGTTGCTTTCATCTTCTGTGTTTGACATGTTGGCATATCAACTTCAGTATTCTTTGAGGGCAAAAATTGCATCTTCTAGTATGATTTATCTACTTGATGGCCTATTATGTCTTCAAAAAGTTTAATTACCCGGTGTCCATCAACAGATGAATGGGTTTCAGCACTGTCCTGGATTATAGAAAGAAAAAAACCCAGATGAATGGGTTAACAAAATGTGTATTGACATACAATGAAATATCATTCAGCCTTGAAAGGGAAGGACATTCTGACACATGCTACAACATGGATGAACCTTCAGAACATCATGCTAAGTGAAATAAGCCAGATATAAAAAGACAAATATTTTATGATTCCACTAATATGAGGTATCTAGAGTAGTCAAATTTATAGACACAGAAATAGAATGGTGGTTATCAGAGGCTGGGGAAGGGGTAAAAGGGAAGTGTTTGATGGGCACAGAGTTTCAGTTTGGGAAGATGAACAAAAGTTCTGGAGATGGATAGCGATGATGGCTGTACACCAACAGGAACGTACTTAATGCCACTGAATTATACCGTTGTCCCTCAATATCGATGGGGGTTGGTTCTAGGACCCATGTAGATAAAAAAATCCTTAAATGTTCAAGTCTCTCATATAAAATGGCATATTATTTGCACATAACCCATATGCATCCCTCATATACATCATCTCTAGATTATTTATATTACCTAATACAACGTAAATGCTATTGTTCTACTATATTTTTGTTGTATTTTTTTTCTTTGAACGTTTTCAGTCCTCACATGCAGAACCTGCGGATATGTAGAGCCAACTATATACTTTAAAATGGTTAAAATGGTACATTTTAGCTGGGCACAGTGGCTCACACCTATAATCCCAGCATTTTGGGAGGCCAAGATGGGCAGATTGCTAGAGCCCAGGAGTTCGAAACCAGCCTGGGAACAAGGTGAAACCATGTCTCTACAAAAAATACAAAAATTAGCTGGGCGTGGTGGCACGTGCCTGTAGTCCCAGCTACTGGGAAGGCTGAGGCATGAGATTCGCTGGAACCCGGGACGTCAAGGCTGCAGTGAGTCGTGACTGCATCACCGCCCTCCGGCCTGGATAAGAGTGAGACCCTGTCTCCATAAAAAAAGTAAATTTTATCACAATAAAAAATTTTTCAAAAAGAAGTATAATTATGAAAACCACTTTAAAACATGAAAAATGCTTATGCTATGTTAAATTTTAAAAGCTTCCAACAGTGTTTAAAATGTTGCTTAGAACTTTTTGGAAAAAAGTGCCTATGAGGAAAGAATTCAAGAGAATGCTATGCTTAAGAGTTATAACAATGGTGGAAGCTAGGGGTGATTTTCCCCCTTTTACAAATGTACTATTTTACTACTTTTCATGTTTAAACACACAAAAATAGCAAAATATGATACAGTAAGTATAATACCAAAAAGGTAAAGGCAATATGGCTATAACCACGAAGCTCCCTCATGTGTTACTCCTTTCTCCATTCATGGCATCCTGAATTTGGAGTGAAATACAAAAGTTTTATACATGCTTAATATTGGGGGTGCTGTCCAATGATCTAAGAACTGGTGGGGAGGTCTGGGCACACAGGTAAGATTTAAGTTTAATCAAAGAAACAGCTTTCTTCTTATCCTCATTCTCAATGCTTAAGAAAAAAAAAGTATTTGCCTTACTTGAGCCAAAATTTTTTTTTTTTTTCTTCTGAGATGGAGTCTTGCTCTGTCACCAGGCTGGAGTGCAGTGGCACGATTTTGGCTCACTGCAACCTCCGCCTCCCAGGTTCAAGCAATTCTCCTGCCTCAGCCTCCCAAGTAGCTGGGACTACAGGCATGCCATCACGCCCAGCTAATTTTTTTTTTTCTTTTAGTAGGGACGGGGGTTTCACCATGTTGGCCAGGCTGGTCTCGATCTCCTGACCTCGTGATCTGCCCACCTCGGCCTCCCAACGTGCTGGGATTACAGGGGTGCGCCACCCCACCTGGCCAACTTCCTCTTTAGCCACTACATTTAAGCCACCTCAAATGTTTTGTGGGAGAAGGTTAAGCTCTAAATAAGCAAGTAAGTAAAGTTGTCATAAAATAAAATTTATTTTAAAAAGGAGGGGTGGGGAAAGTGAAATGGAAAAAGAATCAGACCAGGAATCAGAAGACAGGTTCTGGCTAACCTGCTATTTCCTGGCTGAGAGACCTGGCATGGGGCTCAGCTCCCCGAAAGTCAGCTTTCCCATCTGCAAGTGAACAGACTATCTGCTCTGCCCTTTCTTAAGAACGCTGTAAAGACCAGTGGTGACAGTGCTGGTAAAGAAGCACTGAAAAAGTTAAGGTTCTTTCAGAGCTAAAAGGTGTGCCCTGTTAAATGCACAGTAGTAACTTGACTGCTCTGTGTTGTCAGAGGCACCACCTGAAGTTAGTCCCTCACAGATGCTTTTCTGCTTTTACCTTAGTACTTCTAACTTGTCATTTTGAAGGCACAGAGAATCCCCAGTCCTTGGAGCTCCCCCGGCTCCACATTTTTGATGCAGAGGTATGGTTCAAGGCATTCTATTTAAGACAGGACATTTCAGGGGCGGCACTGATGGTCTGTAGAACTTAGAGGCATGGAGAAGAGAGGGCCTCATGGGATAAAGGGTTTGCCACAACCCACATGCGGTGCTCCCAATGTTCATTCAACAGCAGGGCTCTTTCAGCACTATTCTGAAATATCACCGGCTTTTAAATCTTTTAAAGCTGAAAAAATGTTTCCTAGTCCTTTGAAAGTAGGCAATCTAGTAGCGTCAGGGACTTGTCCAGGCAGCCCTCCAGGTGCATCTTCCCCAGATCGATGTTTATTCAGGTGCCCACCAAGCCTTCCCCCAACTCCAGTAAGATGTCATACTACACAAGTCACATTTTCTGGAGAGGGAAAATGGCTTGAGTTTTAATTTTAAACACACAAATAAGCCAAATGGGTAAAACACCTTTATGACTGATGTGCAAATAAAGTAGATTTTGGTATGAAGATGACAAACCAACATACGTATAAATTCCGAAATTCTCAAATGGCACTAATTCCCAGAAATATCAGAGCAATCTTTCTTCAAATTGAAGTTCATTTAAGCAACGACACACGCCACTGCCCTCACCACCTCAGAGCCCGTAAAAACCTCTGAATGGGCTCCTGCGCTTTTCCTGAACGTGATTCTGTTAAGGCCGCACTTCCTCTGCGCCTGCCCAACCCCACAGGCTGCATAAATTTCACTGAAGTTTTTGTCTTTTACTTCATGAGTAAAATTTTGTTAAGTTTTTTCTTTATTCTGGCTTTTTGTTTTGTTTTTTTGTTTTTGAGACAGAGTCTCACTCTATCCCCCAGGCTGGAGTGCAGTGGTGCAATCTTGGCTCACTGCAAGCTCTGCCTCCTGGATTCAAACAATTCTCCTGTCTCAGCCTCCCCAGTAGCTGGGAATACAGGCACCTGCCACCACGCCCAGGTAATTTTTGTATTTTTAGTAGAGACGAGATTTCACCATGTTGGCCAGGCTGGTCTCTAACTCCTGACCTCAGGTGATCCGCCCGCCTAGGCCTCCCAAAGTGCTGTGATTACAGGCATGAGCCACCGCGCCCAGCCTGTTGTTGCTGTTGTTGTTGTTGTTGAGACAGGGTCTCCCTCTGTCGCCCAGGCTGAAGTGCAGTGGTGCAAACATGGCTCACTGCAACCTCAACCTCTCAGGCTCAAGCGATCTTCCCACCTTACTCTCCCGGGTAGCTGGGAAGACAGGCACATCCCATCACGCCCAGCTAATTAGTTTTTTCTTTTTGATAGCTTCATTCCACTACAGACCCAAGCCACTACCAAATTTAATACCTATTAATTTAGCCAAAATTTCTATTTTCTGGCTAATAACCCTCAGAATATTTACCTCCATCAATAGCACTAATAATTGCCTTTCTTCTCTAGAGTATTTTTCACAAAGGAATAAAGTCTTTAGCAGCTCAGGAGTTACTATTTATAAATTAAGCAGAGGATAATAAAACCAACTTGAGGTTGAAACGTTAAGTGGTTGGCTAGGCTCACTTAGCCATTCACTCCATGAGTGTCTAGTTCTTAGGAGACAGTCTCCCAGCTTAGGCCCAGTTGTAATTAGTGCTTCAGTCAAGTTACTAACAACCTGTCGTGGCCTTTCAGGGGTTACTGTTCAACAGTTCAAGTCCTGATATTAAATCCAAAAATGCTAAGCTGCTGAAAGGCTAAACAAACGATCTTATGTCAACCTAAAAATATTCTAACAAACTGGCAGCAGGTTTCTGAAGTACCACAGGTAATTTAAACGGGTAGGATGTTCAGTCTGGCACATCAATCATACACAGACACAGGGACACAAAGATACAGACACATCTGTTTTACTTCCTTGCCCTCAACCTCCACACATATGGTATTATTATGAGTGATGATGACGGGTCCCAGAGAGAAATGACTTGGCTGAAGTGATGTGGCTAGTTAGAGCTACATCTGAAAACCCAGCAGAAGAATGCTTCACCCCAACACCCATTCCAAAAGCAAAACAATTCCAAAATGTCCACAACCGGCTGCACTCCTGAAAAGCAAGGTGACATCGCAGGGTGCCAAATGATGTGGCATAGAGACAGCTGCTTGTCCTGGATGCTCTTCTTCTGCACCTGCCACTTCTGAATCTGCACATGCATCCCATGACACCACCCTCCAGCCTTCTTCCAGCCTTCTCTCAGACTCTTCCGGAATCCTCACTGAAAAGGATAACAGAATGCAGGGAGGGGTAACAGTTCAATTCTTTGCAGAAGAACTAGGAAAATTACTGACCTAAGCTCCTGAATGGGCAGGAGCCTTATCCAGTTTGTGCCCCATTGTGCCCAGCAGCTAGCTGTCCCTGCAAAGAACAATGTGCAGGAAGACTTCAGTGGTCATTGGCCTGGGTGAAGAATACGACCCCTGAGAATGTGCCTCTGAAACTGACCTCTGATTCACACGCTCTCCCAGGGAGCACTCAGCACCGTAGGCGTGTTACCAGTTACTTGAACCTAAGGAGCAGGCAGCCCACAACTAAAGTCTCCAGAAGAGCTCTGAGAACCAAAAGGGATGTTGTCAAAGCTGCGCCAACCTACAAAGGAGCTTGCAGAGAAACCTGCGGAGGCTGAGTGGGAATGATGGTGTGGTGTTTGTGACAGCAGGTGCCTTCAGGGACACGATGTCAGGGAATGAAGGCACTGGTGCTTCTCCCATATGCATGGAGGTGCACCCTTTCCACACCAAGGCAGAGACTGCCAGCCCTCTACCCAGTGTCCAGTCTCCCTTTCTTCCTCACCAACAGAATCCCGGTTTTATTTGGGGCAGCAAAATGCCCAGATCAAGGACTCATTTCCCCGCCTCACATGTAGTTGTTGCTGATGAAGCATAACAGAAAGTCAAGTTGTTAGGTGAAGAGGGAGCTTCCAGGAAAGATCTTTAAGGGGGTCTAGCTCATCTGGAAGATGAGTCCTTTGCCCTTCCCACCCTCTCTTTTCCTCCTGCCTGGTCATGGTGTGATTATTGAGCTCCAGCAGCCATCATACACTGTGAGGAACTCTGAGGCTAAAGATGGTGAAAGAGAAAGGCGGAGGAATCCTGGAACCCTGATCAGCAGGAGCCATGCAACCAGCCCACGCCCACCAGCCTCCAGACCGCTACATGAACAGTCAACATTCATTTTGTATGAGCCGCCTGAGTTTTCTGTTACATGCAGCTGAACCCTGCACGTTAAAGAAATTCATATCCCTCGCCTTTATTTTTTAAGACTCTCCATCAATCAAATCACTGTCTCATTTTGACATTTATGTTCATTAAGTATTTGAATAATTGGATCTTACCCTTGAAGCCCAAGACATTTACCAGGTCCCAAGAGGTTCCGAGACTGCTCCCAATTACCTAAGTTATCTGCGGGGAATATCCTACAGTCTTAAGCTACTCTAAAACTTCAGCCCTAGAGCGTGATGGCTGAAAGGAAAAAGTGTACTTGTAGCGCTTATGCTTCTTAACCCACTGACCATGTCCTCAAATCAAACTGCACTGTACAAAATGGTAGTCACTAGCCACATATGGTTAAATTAAGTACAATTAAACAAAAATATAAATTATGTTTCTCAGTTGCCTTAGCTGCATTTCAACTGCTCAACAGCCTCCACGTGCCTGGTAGCTACCTTACTGCACAACAATATAGATGGTTTTTATCATGCCAGAAAATTCTCCTGGAGAGCACTGATCTAGAAATACACTTTTCAGCCGCGCACAGTGGCTCACTCCTATACTCCCAGCGCTCTGGGATGCTGAAGCGGGCGGATCACCTGAGGTCAGAAGTTCAACACCAGCCTGGCCATGGTGAAACCCCATCTCTACTAAAAATACAAAAAATTAGCCGGTCGTGGTGGTGTGCACCTGTAATCCCAGCTACTCGGGAGGCTGAGGCAGGAGAATCACTTGAACCTGGGAGGCGGGGGTTGCAGTGAGCCGAGATTGCGCCATTGCACTCCAGCCTGGGCAACAAGAGCGAAACTCTTGTCTCAAAAAAAAAAAAGAAAAGAAAAGAAAAGAAATACACTTTTCCCCAGGCGTCGATGACAGCCAGTTCTCCTTGTGTCCCTTCCACCTCCCCAGGCATTCCCCAGCCCCTCATCCTCTACTCACTGCTCAAATGCTGGCATTTCTCAGAACTCTATCTAAATCCCTCTTCTCCCCTCACTCTGCCTAGGCGATCTCCTTCAGCATCAACTGTCATCCTTATGCAGAAGGCTTAAACACTAATGAACATTTTTTTTTTTTTTTTGAGACAGAGTCTCGCTCTGTTGCCCGGGTTGGAGTGCAGTGGCGTGATCTCTGCTCACTGCAAGCTCCGCCCCCCGGGTTCATGCCACTCTCCTGCCTCAGCCTCCCGAGTAGCTGGGACTACAGGCGCCCACCACCTCGCCCAGCTAATTTTTTGTATTTTTAGTAGAGACGGGGTTTCACCGTGTTAGCCAGGATGGTCATGAACATCTTAATATCCTCAGAAACTTCCTGCAAGAACCCAAGTTTTATCTAAATCATGGATGTGGTAGAAAGAATATATCTGGGTTTTGCCCTTGTTCCTGGCACAGAACTCCGAAAACTCTTAGAATGTTCTGGGTGACAGGAGTGTCTTTTGTTATCTGTGAAGAGTCACTTCTGACCACATCTGAGTCTGCACTAATGAGGTGACAGAGGGTGGGCCCTTAGAGCATTTCAAGGGATGGGCTGGCCATTCCAGAAAGACCAAGCATATGATTAGAGGGCCAGAACTTCCATTCCCACCCCTGACCTCTGGGAAGAAGAGGGGCTGGAGACTGAGCTCAATCACATGACCAACGATGTCATAAGACCCTGATACGATAAACACCTGAGCTCAAAGAGCTTCCTGGCTGATGAATACATTGATGTGCCAGGAGGGTGATGCCCCTGACTCCATGGCATGGGAGCTCGGCATCCAGGACCCTCCCAGGTCTTGCCCTATGTGTCTCTTCCATTTGGCTGTTCCTGAGTTGTATCCTTTATCATAAAACCATCTTCTGTGAGTTTAGTGAGTTGTTTTAGCAAATTATCAAAACTGACAAGGTGGTGGAATCCCCAAATTTACAGCCAGTTGGTCAGAAGTCCAGGTAGCATGAAGACTTGCAATTGGTATCTGCCATGAGAGCAGCCTTGCAGAACTCATGTCTGACATTCAGTTCAGGTGGTTGGTGTCAGAACCGAGTTGAAGTGACACCAAGCTGGTGTTAGAGCACTGGTGTCAAAGCATTATGACCTCTTAGCCACTGTTCGGATATTTAGTTAATAGTGGTTCAAAACTGCGATAAATAAATGATGCTTTCAATTCACCTTGGATTACTGCATACAGGTTCACAATTCACACAGAATATTCAATCCCAACTGAATTCCATAGAGTTCTCAAAATCACAGAAGATATCTATGTGCATAACCAAACAACCATAAGAGGAAGAGCTATTTTTCATAACCTCAAAAGTCAGTGGAGTATGTGATCTAACAATGAATCAGTGACCCTGATGAGATACAATGACAGCAAGGGAGGACAGATCCACTGGCACACACTAATTTAAGTGAAAATTCAAATTATAATATGAAATTAGTAGATTTTAGAAAAGGGCCTTCTAACAGCAAGCTCTGGCTGAAGTGCAATGGCGCAACCTCGGCTCACTGCAACCTCTACCTCCCGGGTTCAAGCGATTATCCTGTCTCAGCCTCTCGAGTAGCTGGGATTACAGGCACGCACCACCACCCTTGGCTAATTTTTGTATTTTCAGTAGAGGTGGGGTTTCACCATATTGGCCAGGCTGTTCTCGAACTCCTGACCTCAGGTGATCCACCCGCCTCAGCCTCCCAAAGTGCTGGGATTACAGGCATGAGCCACTATACCTGGCAAATTTAGAATATTTATATTTATCCTGTTTTTTCAGGTATATATATCCCATGTCAAGCTACCCTGCTTGGTTAAACTTTGGCCACAATTTCTCTAAGCTCAAATAATGCTGACGTGAAAATAAGCTATAATTTATTTTACTAAAAAAGAAATTTGATTTTACAAAAAGCAGCTTCCGAATTTGTTCAGCAGGTTCAAATTTTCAATCTTGAAGGATTTTTTGTTAGCACTGGTGATGGCGGCATTTTGTTTTAATTTAGTTTTTTATTTGATTGTTTTGTTTTGCTTTAAATTTTAATGCAAGGCTTCAGAGCTTTCACAGCCCAGGTCCTTTCCTATTTGTTAACTGTTGGAGTGGTGTCTCTAACATTTTTATAAACTGCAGCAAGGACGGACCTTCTGCTGAACCTCAACGACTTCCTTAATGGCTTCCATCCTCCCACCATTACCATGGAAGTCACTATTTTCTACACCAACTCATCAGCTCTTCCCTGGAAATTCTGGAACACAAAGAAAATAGTCTCTCTCTGGACACCTGGGTCATAATATGAAAAACATGGGGCTGGCAGCCATGTTGTGCCACCTGGACCAAACAGCAGAGACTGCTGGTCCATGACAGAAAAGGAATAACTCAGAAACACTGAGGGAGTGGACAGCTGGAAAAGAGGCAGAAGACAAAAGAGAGAAAGAAAGAGTGTCCTCCTGGCCCCATCCATGCAGCATCCTAGCCCAATCCCTGGCTCCTGACCTGGATTCCGTAGACAGCCCAGAATCCTTCCAACGAATTCCCTTTTTTTGTGTTAGTTGAGTTAGGTCTCTTTCACCAGTAACCAAGAATCCCCTGACTAATAGAGGGTTCTACAGTCCTTTCCGCTGATTGTTTTGAAAGAGGCAAGATAGAAACCTACAGGTGGTTGACTGAACCCAGCAGAGTCCTAGAGCCAAAAAGAGATCAGCCACCCCTTGGAACCTGCTCCCGTGGCAGGGCTTAGACCACAGAACCCTAACTTGCAGCTCCACACCAGGCCACTGCAGCGCTCCACAGCAACTTTCTGGTAGGCCCTTGGGCCACAGACTTAACTCCTCCAGCCAACCTACCAACTAATGCTAGGTTAAAGGGGAAATGAGTTGTTCTCTATTTCGTACCGCTGCTTTGAGAGTATAATATGGGGGAGACAAAGTAAAGTTTTCAGGATACCATCAGAGACAACATACATGGAGGGTACAGCTTCCCCAGCTGCAAGGGCAGCAAATCAAACCCAGAAGAAATGTGGGCACAGCACCTCCATTCACCTAATCAACTCCTACAGGAAAGAAGTAAATGCAAGCTGCAAAACCAAAGGGACATCATATTAGAGAAAACATGCTGATGATTCATCATACAGAAGAAGCAACCGTTATTTTTAAAGTCCATGAAAGCACCTGGTTGAAACATGACACACCATGGCGGCTGCACAACAATATAAATGTTGTTTAATGGCCCTGAACTGTACATTGAAAAATGATTACAATAATATATTTTGTTATGTATATTTTACCACACTTTTTTAAAAAGACACATCATAAGAGTTTGAGACAGACTGAATTCCCTCCATTGCAAACACACCACAGGCAGTGTACATGTGACAGCCGTATAAATAACATGTTCCCTGGCCTGAGGCAACTAAGCACAGAGCTGAGGCTGACCTGAGTGGTGAGTCTGGGTGGGCAGAAACGAACAGAGTCCTGGCTTTTTGTTTTTTGGGAGGGAGAGGGGGCAGGGGTTGTCAAACAAAGTAGGCATCTTCTGAAATGAGTAACAACAAAAACTCACTCCACAGTCCATTTTCTCCAACCTACTAACCTGGTTGGAGATCAGGCTACTAAGCCTGATCAGCACGGTCTTAACATTACTAATTTCTAAATATTTCAACATAAATGGAACAGTTCCTCACTCCTCAGAAATCACTGCTGGTTTCCTATCAGCCACAAACAGATGGCAGCTCAGGAGAGTCCTGTTCCCATTATGCCAACTTGGCAGGAGGCTCACCTGCTGCCACCTGAAACACCAATCCCTCCCACCTTTACACAGAAGGCTCCCAAACACAACTAAAATCCTGCCTGGATACCCACTGATCAGCATCCTTAAAAGCATAGGGGGGAAGTCTCATTACAACTCCACTAATTAATAAACATAGGGAGGGACGACATCACGTCCTAATATAATTACAAGAATACTGTAGCTTTTCATTGCAGTTCCACTATATGGTTCAGACAGGTTCCCTGCCTGATTACACTGGGCTGTAATCCAGTTTTGCTAATATATCCATATGTATAAGAGTGAGAGCAGATCTTATATCAAATCTAAAGGAAAACTTTTGGAAATGCTAAAAAGTTCAATTTCAGACATATTAATACATCCTCAACATTTTATTTACAATAAGACCACCAATCTTGTTTTTATAACCGCCAACAGGTTTCTTGGTTTCTCGGCTGCAACTTTTTTATTGAAGTGATCAAAGACTTAGAGAACAACAGGATGTTCACAAGTTACCCTTAAAGTAGAAAACATGAAAGCTGCCTGTGTGAGTGTGGTATATGTGTGTACATGTTAGTATACATACCACGTATACACACACACACAGAAGTTATATATATACATACATACAGAAACACATACACACATGCACGCACTGGCAAAGAAAAAAGAAAACAATCTGGGCTGTTCACTTCATCAGATTCCAAGCAAAGATGCTCTTCTGTGCTTTCTGGACACACCTACTAATCACCAAAGCCTTAACCACTGACTGCTCCTTGCCTGCTCAGCAAATCAAACTCAACTCTGGAATGTTAAGCCAAGGTGTTCTTCAGGAGGAGTAGCTTAAGTAACTAGAGAGTTACTTTAAATAGTAAGAGTTCACTGCATTCATGCCATAGCCCAGTACTTAAACCTATAACAGGCTCTGCTCTTGCGATAAAGACCAAAATCCTTAAATGTGGCACACGAGGCCCAGCAAGAAAAGGGATCTCTCCCACCAAGGCCTCTGCATTTCCCCAGGGAAGCCACCTCTGACCTTCTGACTAGATCAATTCTGCCTTTATACCCTGTACTTCTTCATGCAATGAGGGAAAGAATGACAGCTATTGCATCAGTTAGCACATCTTCGGTTGCAAATAACAGATAACCCTAACTTAAATTGGTGTAAACAATAAGAAAATTTATTTCACAGAACAAGTCCAAGGTTAGTGGGTGCCAAGCATGGTGCACTGGGGCTCTGCAGAGTTCTCTCTGCTGTTGGCTTGGCTCAGTCCTTAACCTGATGTTGGCTTCATGCTCAGACCAGTAGCAAAACAATTGTAACAGTTCCAGGCACCACACCCAGACATGACAACTTTCAGAGGAAGAAAAGGCCACCATTCTTAGAGTTGTTGCTGTAAGGCTGAGTTTTCCAGAACCTCTGGACAGACCTCCCACTAATCTCACTGACCAGAACTAGGTCTCTGGCTCACCCCTACAGTCATCACCTACGGAGAATGGGACCCATGTGACTAGCTGAAACCAGTCAGGATTTACCCCAGTGCTAGGGATAAGATCACCTTCCCCAGAGTCACACAGGAGACAAGAGGCTCTCTAAACAAAATTCCAATTCTACTTAGAAAGAAGGGAAGAAAGAACATTAGATATGCACTCGACAGGGTCTGCCGGTTATCAATTTAGGGTACATGCTCTGGTCCCCAACAGTGTCTACAACTGCCAAGAGAAAGCCCCCTCCAGCAACACCTGCAGGGGGATTCATAAACATGACAGGATCCATGCAGAGGGAGGCCACAGGGTGGGGGTGAGGGAGTAAGACAAGGGACACAGAGTTTTTCTGTTGCTTTTGTTTTGTTTTGTTTTTGAGACAGAGTCTCACTCTGTCACCCAGGCTGGAGTGCAGTGGCGCAATCTCAGCTCACTGCAACCTCCACCTCCTGGGTTCAAGTGATTCTCCTGACTCAGCCTCCTGAGTAGCTGGGACTACAGGCACCTGACACCATGCCCAGTTAATTTTTGTACTTTTAGTAGAGACAGGGTTTCGCCATGTTGGCCAGGCTGGTCTGGAACTTCCGGTCTCGGGTGATCCACCCACCTCAGCCTCCCAAAGTGCTGGGATAACAAGCGTGAGCCACGGCACCTGGCCGGAACACAGAGTTTTTAATCAGGAGATGCAGACTCAAGTCTCAAGACTTCTGCTTAACATCTCATGACTACAGGCAAATCTCAGCCTTAGTTTTCTCATAAAATACAAAAATATGTGCTTGACATATTGTGCAAGGTGGCTGTGAAGACCAAATGAAATGGCATATGTGGAAAAATACTTTGTAAACTAGGGGTTAAACATAAGTAAGCAATGATTATCACTTACAGTGGAAAAAGTCACAAACCATTCAAAAAAACTCCTTGGAGAAAAGGCCAACACTCTTATCTGGCCAAACTGAAGTATGTGTAATCTACTAATGGACATCTACCTTAAAAATGGTGTTTCTGGGCTGGGTGTGGTGGCTCACGCTTGTAATCCCAGCACTTTGGGAGGCCAAGGCTGGTAGATCACTTGAGGTCAGGAGTTTGAGACCAGCCTGGCCAACATGGCAAAACCCCATCTCTACTAAAAATACAAAAATTAGCCAGGCATGGTGGCGCATTCCTGTAATCCCAGCTATTCAGGAGGCTGAGTCATGAGAATCATTTAAACCCAGAAGGCGGAGGCTGCAGTGAGCCGAGATCATGCCATTGCACTCCAGCCTGGGCCACAGAGCAAGACTCTGTCTCCACTGATTTACTAATGACTTGGTTGGAGGCCAAAACCAGGATTCCCTTCTCCACTCTTTCCTTGACCCCTCCTCCATAGGCATGCACAATAATCAGATTCTCACTGTTTTCTTTTTTTTTTTGAGACAGAGTCTTGCTCTATCACCCAGGCTGGAGTACAGTGGGGCAATCTCAGCTCACTGCAACCTCCGACTCCTGGGTTCAAGCAATTCTCCCTGCCTCAGCCTTCCGAGTAGCTCTGATTACAGGTGCCTGCCACCAAGCCCAGCTAATAATTTTTCTATTTTTAGTAGAGACGGAGTTTCGCCATGTTGGCCAGTCTGGTCTCGAACTCCTGATCTCAGGTGATCCGCCCACCTTGGCCTCCCAAAGTGCTGGGATTAAAGGCATGAGCCACCATGCTCGGCACATTCTGTCTTCTATATGGAAAGGTAGGGCAGTGGCGTTCTGTAGGTCAGAAAATGTTAAGAAAATCAAAAAAAGTGTTTTAGTTAGAAAGAGGGGAGATTATTTGAATGCACAAATAGAAGCTACTACTGGTCACCCATGAGAAAGCTCAGGTCAACTAACATTAACAGGTGTAAGCTGAGAAGCCACAAGATAATAAATCCAGAGGCATCTAAGGCCTCCCTGCTAATGCTCTTTTGACCAGGTAGCCCACCTGACATGAAGCCACTCAACATGCAGCCTGCTCTGCCTAATTCCCTGCCCGCCCTCTCCATCTCTTAGTTTTGTCCATCTGTCTCCACTTACGGCAGGGCAGAGACAGGAGAGCAGGCCACAGAGATTTTCAAACCTATCTGAAGAGTAAGACACGTGTTTATTCAGGCAACATGTCTCGTCTAGGCAATAAAGTTGGAAGACTGGTCATGCCTCACACCTAGATCCTGGAGGGTGATGTATAGGAATACATTCTTCCTCACAGTGAGGGTGACTTTCTCTCCTAGACTTAAAAATCAGCAACAACATATCCTAATTTTCCACTCAGGTCCAGGCAAAAGAACGAGACAGCAGAGTGAGAGCAAAACATCTTAGGGAATTAAGATGAACAAATAATGGAAAATAGAAGCAGTGACTGACAATTCGCATGGGATTTCTATGCCCAAGTTTCTTGTGGCCTCACACATGCAAAGCAGCATCCCTGCCAACGCGTAAGCTTCATGGAGCAGATGCGTCTAATAAGACCAATGCCTAAGATTATTTTCCATCTAAATTACCATATGTGTGTGAAAGGACTGAACTGTAAAGCTGTAAAGTTCTACACAAACGCGGATAGAAAAACCCACCCCATCTAAATCCAATGTGGTAACCTGGAAAAAGTACATTAGTGAAAAAACCGGGCTGCTCTGCCTACGGAGTGGCCATTCTGATAAGGGGAAAAAAAGAAAAAACTGGCAAAATCTGAAAGAAGTCTAGTGTTCAATTAATAATAATGTACCAATGTTAATTTCTTAGTTTTGACAAATGCTCTAGTTATGTAAGATGCTGGCTGGGCGCGGTGGCTCACACCTGTAATCCCAGCACTTTGGGAGGCCGAGGCGGGCAGATCATG